>NC_000024.10:3939946-4240356 GCF_000001405.40 Homo sapiens
TTCCTTTAGGTATACACACAGTAATGGGATTGCTGGGCCTAATAATATTAATGGTTTTGGGTCTTTGAGGAATCACCACACTGTCTTCCATAATGGCTGAACTAATTTACACTCCCAACAACAGTGTATAATATGTATTCCTTTTTCTCTGCAACCTCGCCAGCATCTGTTATTTTTTGACTTTCACTAGCCATTCTGACATGGGACATAGAATCTTGTGATATTCATTTGCAATTCTCTAATTATCAGTGATATTGAGCTTCTTTTTATATGATTCTTGGCTGTATGTCTTCTTTTGAAAAGTGTCTGTTCATGTACTTTGCCTACTTTTTTATGAGGTTGTTAGTTTTTTCTTATAAATTTATTTAAGTTCCTTATAGATATTGGCTATTAGACTTTATCAGATGCATAATTTTCAAAAATTTTATCCTATTCTGTAGACTGTTTACTGTGTTGATAGCTTCCTTTGCTGGGCAGAAGCTATTTAGTTTAATTAGATCCCATTTGTCAATTTTTGCTTATATTACAATTGCTTTGGTATCTTCATCATGAAATCTTTGCCCATGTCAACATCCTGAATGGTATTGTCTAAGTTTTATTCCAGGGTTTTTATAGTTTTGGGTTTTACATTTAAGTCTTTAATCCATCTTGAGTTAATTTTTGTGTAAGGTATAGGGAAAGGGTCCAGTTTCAATTTTCTGCATATGGCTAGCCAGTTATCCTAGCAGCATTTATTGAATAGGGAATTCTTTCCTCATTGCTTGTTTTTGTCAGATTTGTCAATGATCTGATAGTTACAGGCTCATGTTCGTATTTCTGGGTTCTCTATTCTGTTCCATTGGCATTTGTGTCTGTTTTTATACCAGTACCATGATATTTTGGTTACTGTAGCCCTGTAGTATATTTTGAAGTCAGGTACTGTGATGTTTCCAGTTTTGTCCTTTTTATTAGGATTTTCTTGGCTATTCAGGCTCTTTTGTTCATTCCATATGAATTTTAAAATAGATTTTTTCTAATTTGGTGAAGAAAGTTAAGAGTAGTTTAATGGGAGTATCATTGAATCTGTAAATTGCTTTGGGTGGTATGGCCATTTTAACGATATTGATTCTTTCTATCCATGAGCATGGAATGTTTTCCCGTCATCTCTGATTTTTTTTTTTTTTTTTTTTTTTTTTTTTTTGAGACGGGGTCTAGCTCTGTCGCCCAGGCTGGAGTGCAGTGGCGCAATCTCGGCTCACTGCAAGCTCCGCCTCCCGGGTTCACGCCATTCTCCTGCCTCAGCCTCCCGAGTAGCTGGGACTACAGGCGCCCGCCACCACACCCGGCTAATTTTTTGTGTGTTTAGTAGAGACGGGGTTTCACCATGTTAGCCAGGATGGTCTCAATCTCCTGACCTCGTGATCCGCCCGCCTCCACCCAAGTGCTGGGATTACAGGCGTGAGCCACTGCGCCAGCCCATCTCTGATTTCTTTGAGCAGTGGTATGTAGTTCTCCTTGTGGAGATCTTTTGCCTCCCTAGTTTGCTGTATTCCTAGGTATTTATTTATTTTTTATTTTTATTTTTATTTTTTTTTGAGACAGAGTCTCAGTCTGTCACCCATGCTGGAGTGCAGTGGCACGAACTCGGCTCACTGCAACCTCCACCTCACTGGTTCAAGCAATTCCCCTGCCTCAGCCTCCTGAGTAGCTGGGATTACAGGCGCATGCCACCACGCCCGGCTAATTTTTTTGGATTTATAGTAGAGACGGGGTTTCACCATGCTGGCCAGACTGTTCTCGAACTCCTGACCTCAAGCAATCCACCCGCCTCGGCCTCCCAAAGTGCTGGGATTACAGGCATGAGCCACCACGCCCAGCTGGTATTTTATTCTGTTTGTGGCAATTGCGAATCGGAATTTGTTTCTGATTTGGCTCTCAGGAATATTATTAATTTTTGCACATTGTTTCTGTATCCTAAGATTTTGCTGAAGTTGTTTATCAGCTTAAGAAGCTTTTGGGCTGAAACTATGGAATTTTCTAGTTATAGGATTATGTCATCTGCAAACAGGGATAGTTGAACTTCCTCTATTCCTATTTGGCTGCCCTTTCTTTCTTTCTTTTGCCTGATTGCGCTGGTCAGGATATCTAACACTATGTTGACTAGTATTTGTGAGAGAGGGCATTCTTGTCTTATGCTCGTTTTCAACGGGAATGCATCCAGGTTTTGCCCATTTAGTATGATTTTGGCTGTGGGTTTTTCATAGATGGCTCTTATTATTTTGAAGTATTTTTCTTCAATACCTAGTTTGTTGTGAGTTTTTAACATTAATGGATGTTGAATTTTATCAAGTCTTTTTTTCATTTATTGAGATAATCGTCTGTTTTTTGTCTTTAGTTCTATTTATGTGATGAATCACATTTATTGATTTGCACATGTTGAATCAACCTTGCATCCTGGGGAAAAAGCCTCCTTGATCATGGTGGATAAGCTTTTTGATGTGCAGCTGTATTTGGTTTGCCATTATTTTGTTGCAGATTTTTGCATTGATTTTCGCATTGATTTTCATCATGAACATTGGCCTGAAGTTTTCATTTTTTGTTGTGTCTCTGCCAGGTTTTGGTATCAGCATGATCCTGGGCACATAGAATGCTTTAGAGAGGAGTCACTCCTCCTCAATTTCTTGTAATAGTTTTAGCAGGAATGGTACCAAATCTTTGTACATCTGGCAGAATTCAGCTGTGAATCTGTCTCGTTCTTGGCTTTTTTTGGTTGGTAGGCTATTTATTTCCTACTCAATTTCAGAGCTTGTTATTAGTCTGTTCGGGGTTCGATTTCTTATTGGTTAATCTTGGGAGGCTGTATGTGTCCAGGAATTTATCCATTTCTTCTAGATTTTCTATTTTGTGTTCATAGAGGTGTTTATAATACTCTCTGATGGTTATTTGCATTTCTGTGAGGTCAGTGTTATTATCCCACTTGTCATTTCTGACTATGTTTATTGTTTATTTGAATCCTCTCTCTTTTCTTCTTTATGAGTCTAGCTAGTAGTCTATTTTATTTTATTTTTCAAAAAACCCAGCTCTTGGTTTGTTGATCTTTTGAAGTTTTTTGTGTTCATCACTATCTCCTTCAGTTTAGCTCTGATTTTGGTTATTTATTTTTATTTTTATTTTTTATTTTTTGAGACAGAGTCTTGCTCTGTCACCCAGGCTGTAATGCAGTGGCACAATCTCAGCTCAGTGCACCCTCTGACTTCCAGATTCAAGTGATTCTCTTGCTTCAGCCTCCTGCATGGCTGGCACTGCAGGCACGTGCCACCACCTCTAGTTTATTTTTTTATTTTTAGTAGAGATGCAGTTTCACCATGTTGCCCAGGCTGTTCTCAAACTCCTGACCTCAAGTGATCTGCCTGTCTTGGCCTCCCAAAGTGCTGGTATTACAGGTGAGAGCTACAGCACCCAGCCTTCATTTTGGTGATTTTTTATTTTTTTATTTTTTATTTTTATTTTTTGAGACAGAGTGTAACTTGGTTACCCAGGCTGGAGTGTAGTGGCATGTTCTTGGCTCACTACAACCTCCATCTCCTGGGTTCAAGCAATTCTTGTGCCTCAGGGTCTCAAGTATCTGGGATTACAGGTGTGCACCACCACATCTGGCTAATTTTTGTATTGTTAGTACAGATGGGGTGTCACGATGTTGACCAGGCTGGTCTCAAACTCCTAAGCTCTAGTGATCAGCCCGCATCGTCCTCCAAAGTGCTGGGATTACATACACTAGCCACCGTACCCAGCCGATTTTAGTTATTTCTTGCCTTCTGCTATCTTTGAAATTTGTTTGCTCTTGGATCTCTAGCTATTTTAGGTTTTTAAATTGAGTTCCTTCTAACTTCTTGATGTGGGCATTTAGTACTATAAATTTCCTCTTAACTCTGGGTTAGCTTTTTCTAACCATACAGAAAGAATCTTTCCTTCTCCCAGAGATTCTGGTATGTTGTATTTTTGTTTTCATTAGTTTCAAAGAACATCTTGATTTCTGCTTTATTTTATTATTTACCCCAAATTCATTCAGGAGTAGGTTATTCCATTTCTATGTAATTGCATGGTTTTGAGTGAATTCTCTTATTCTTATTTTTAATTTCTAATTTGATTGTATTGTGGTCCAAGTGATTGTTTTGATTTCAGTTCTTTTGCATTTGCTGAGGAGTGTTTTACTTCAAATTATTAAAATTCATTAAAATTAATATCGATTTTAGAGTATGTGCCATGTGGCAATGAGAAGAATGTATATTCTGCTGCTTTTGGGTGGAAAGTTCTGTAGATATCTATGAGGTCCATTTGATCCAGTGCTGAGTTCAGATGTTGAATATATGTGTTAATTACCTGTCTTGATGATCTGCCTAATCTTTTCTGTCAGTGGGGTGTTAAAGTTTCCCACTATTACTGTGTGGGAGTCTAAATCTCTTTGAAGGTCTCTAAGAACTTGGTTTATGTATCTGGGTGCTCCTGTGTTAGGTGCACATATATTTATAATAGTTAGATTTTCCTGTTTAATTGAATCATTTATTATTATGTGATGCTTTTATTTATCTTTTTTGATCTTTGTTGGTTTAAATTATGTTTTGTCCAAAACATGATTATACCAGCTGAGAGGTAAGCTCAACTGTTAGCTTCCCCTCCTGATAAACTCAAAAGACTGCTTGGTTGTATGATTACTGTTGATCATCCTTATTGGAGAAAAAAAAACAAAAAGCCAAAAAAAAAAAAAAAAACCAAACAACAACAACCCAAGACTGACACTCTTTGGACTATTTGCAGTGTTCCTTATTCATGCCAATATTATTTTATGAGAATACTTGGACAATTCTTAATATAATCTTCTGGATAAAATCAATGCAAAGATCCAAAATGATGCACAAAATGGAACTTTTAAAAATTATTATATCATGTTAATTTCTCACATTATAGAGTTGGTTATTTTTAGAGATCTGTTAAAGCTGTAATAAAAGAAAATACAGACTAACGTAATAGCAACTGTGTAGGTCTTTGTCACTTATCTAGATGGCACTTTGCTGAAGTTGCAGTTATTACATAAACATATACATTTTTGTACTGGATCAAATCTGAAGAATTGGCCCTAATTTAAAAAGTAAATACCTCTATTTTCTGCTGTTGTGAAGAGCAGTTGGCTGTTTCTCAGTCTCTACAATATTCCCACAGGACAAGGACATTTATAAGTATTTCTATAATAGGCACATATTCACATAATAATTTGAGAAGTGGGAATTTCAGAAGACTAATTTGTTTCTCTGAGGTTCAGGTGAATTTTACTAGTAAGTTGCATTTCTACAAAACTACAGAGAAGTCTTAACATGTTCATCTATAAACAACTACAAAAATGCAAGCTACTTTGTGGATCACAGAAGAAATTAGCAGATTTTTTAAGTAACCTATGTGTCACTTCAATTATTCTTTTTTTGGTGAATATTTTACAGTGAAAAAGCCCCAGTCTTTGAGACTAAGTCAGCAAAACTATCCTAATGATGATCACCTCAATCTATGCTATACTTGGGAAAAGCATTATCTACTGTACTATGATTTATTGCTGTGCTTTGAGTCATTTCTTTGCATAGTTAAGCTGCTACCAATTGTTTCAGCATAGGAATGGCTTCCAAGAATATATCTGAAGTATGTTGTGACAACTCACCTGGCATGGTGGCAAGAAGGAGCAGAGAAAGATGTTCTATAGTAATATGAACATGTTCCACAACACTGGAAGAATATGGATAGTAGAGAAGAAAAAAACTTGTGAAATGCAGAAATTTGTGTGAAGTCCCTTGTGTCGTGTATCTCAATATATTGAATCATGTCTTTATATACTGAGGATATCTTGTCCTGATGAATTCTGGTGATCCCTGAAAAAAAATGGTAGAAAGAACATACTAAAAATTAAAGAAAAGATAAATTTTGAATAGAGGAAATGAAGTTTTTTTGTTGTCCAAATTAATATGAAGGAGGGAATCAAATAAACATAACGAAGAAGATTCATTTTTTGCTCCTTTTATATGAAATGCTGATATCTTTGACACTAATCAAAACTCAGCTCTACAATGAAGATTAGAAGACAAGCTGTGTGTCTTCAATTTAAAGGAATTTACAAATACTGTACAGGAAAACTTGAAATGCCATGAAATCTTATAGCTCATGAATATAATTCAATACAGGTTTCACCCAAATTGACAAAAATTCTAAATGTTTACTCAGCCTTAAAATAAACAGGTCTTGAAGCTAAAACAAACTTTCAAAAAATATCCATAATGTAAAAACTAATTTTAATCAACCATGTTACAAGGAGACTTATTTGTCTTTCTAATGTTTCTATACAAAATGTTGTTCAAATATGATTTTTCTATGAAGAGTCAAAGAGTATGGCATTGTTTCTGAATATGCTAATTTTCTTCTATTTTGATACTTGTGTTATTTGTAGCTTTTTAAAATGTTAGATTAAGGAGATAAATGAGCAGGTTTCTTACTTGGGTATATTGTGTGATGCTGAGGTTTTCACTTCTAATGATCTCATGGCCCAAATAGTGAACATAGTATCTAACAGGTAGTTTTCAATCCTTGTCCCCCTTCCTCATTCCTCCTCTTTTGGAATCCTCAGTATTTATCATTCCCATCTTTGTGTTCATCTGTATCCAGTATTTGGCTCCCACTTTTAAGTGAAAACATGTGGCATTTGTTTTTTTGTTTCTGTATTAATTCACTTAGGATAATGGCCTCCAGCTATATCCACGTTGTTTCAAAGGACATGATGTCATCCTTTTTTATTGCTGCATATTATTCCACAGTGCATATAGGCCATATTTTCTTTATCCAATCCACTGGTGACAAGCACCTGGAATGATTCTGTTACCGGGGGTCCTTGCTCACAGAGCTCCCAAGATGGTGGTGAGCCGCTTCCAAGATGATGGCAAGCCTCGTGTTCTCTGACCTGGGGTTCTTGGCCTGACGGATTCCAAGGAATGGAATCTTGGGCCATGTGGTGAGTGTTATAGCTCTATTAGAAGCCGTGGGTCACGGAAGAGAACCGTGGAACCCAGTGACTAGTGTTCAGCTCGATTAGGATGAACCCAGGCACTTAGCCATGCAGGAACAATGGCAAACCTTTAGCCCGAACAGGAGTGGCAATGGGCGCCTTGCTGGATCAGGAGCACAGTGAACACCCTGCCGGATCCAGAGAGATGGAAGTCAGTGGTGGGTCTGTGACGGCAGCAAACAGCAGTCGTGGACAACGAGCGAAAGCTCAGGTCAAGCCATAACAAACACGGACCAGAAGAGTGCAGTTGCAAGATTTAATAGAGTGAAATAGAGTGAAAACAGAGCTCCCATACAAAGGGAGGGGACCCAAAGGGGGTGGCCATTGCTGGCTCGAATGCCTGGGTTTCTATCTTGATCATTGGCCCTCCCGCTGTGCTCCCAGGCAACAGATGATTGGCTATTTCTTTACCTACTGTTTTTGCCTAATTAGCATTTTAGTGAGCTCTCCTTACTATCTGATTGGTCGGGTGTGAGCTAAGTTGCAAGCCCTGTGTTTAAAGGTGGAAGAAGTCACCTTCCCAGCTAGGCTTAGGGATTCTTAGTCAGCCTAAGAAATCCAGCTAGTCCTGTCTCTCAATTCCATGTCTTTGCTACTATAAATAGTACTGTGAAAAACATGTGAGGGCAGGTGTCTTTTTGGTAGAACAATTTATTTTCCTGTGAGTATATACTCAATATTGAGATTGCTGGGTCTAATGATAGTTCTAGTTTTAGTTCTTTGAAAAATCACTGTTTCTCATAGATATTGAACTAATTTACATTTCCACAAGCAGTATATAAGCATTCTATTTTCTCTGCAACCTCACCAGTATCTGTTATTTTTTGACTTTTTAATAATTGCCATTCTGACTGGTGTGAGATAGCATCTCATTGTGGTTTTGATTTCCATCTCCCTGATTATTAGTGAGCATTTTTTCATATGTTTGTTATTGAGAAGTATCTATTCTTTTGACAAGTACCTGTTCATGTCCTCTGCCCACTTTTTAATTAGGTTATTTCTTTTTCTTGTTGATTTGTGTAAGTTTCTTGTAGATTCTGAATATTTTGCCTTATTCAAATTATGCATAGTTTGCAAAATTTTTCTCCTATTCTATAGGTTGTCTGTTAAAATGTGTAATTTCTTATCATATGTTTTCTTATTCTACATAAGTTTTTACTTTTATATCTAATTTATTAACCATTTTGTATTCTTTCTCTTGAATACTTCTCTTTGAAGTGGACTCTTATATTGTGCAAATTTCAGTCCTCTCAAAATCTAGATGATCTCTGGCAAAACTGTATTCTTGGAAGGAGAAGAAATGAATATAGTCCTGGCTTTACTGTGCTGTTGACTTGGTTTTTGACCCAAAAGAAGTTATTTAACCTAACGAGGCCTCTTTTACAATAACTTTAAAATAAAGCTATAGCTTTTAAGGACCCTTTTATCATGCTGACAATCTGGAATTTTTCCTAAGCCTCATGCTCTCAGGAAACAACTCAAGTTAAAACGATCCTATCATTTTTTTGTTTTGCAAAATGGATTACTGGAAAGAACCATCCTTCCTCATATGACTTTGATAAGACTCAACAATGGCTGCTTCCTTGCTTAACTGATAACAAGACTCCATAAAGTCCCTCCAAATCCCTTTTTTTTTTTTGCCTTATAAATGATTGGCTGAAATGTTTTATCCACAAAGATCAACAGGAATAAAATACCTGTTAACGCAACTTAGGCTTCTTTCCTTCCTCCAGACCCCTGTACATTGGTCTACCCTCAGCCTGAGACAACAGGGAAACCCTCCTCATAATAGTCTGGCCTCAGGGTAAAACATTCTGTGATCTACTATTGTCTCATACCACCCTTTCATCCTACTTCCCCCACACTGGGGTTCTTTCAAGCCTTGTTTTCTTCTCTCTGTAAGAAAAAAAACAAAAACAAAACCAAAAACAAACAAACAAAAAACCATTTCTGCCTAATTCTTGAAACACTGGCAGACCTTACAGTCAGCATTCACCCTACTCCAGTAGTCCTTCTCCCCTCCCTTGCAATAATCCTTTTGAATAAAAGTCTCTCCTTACTCATTCTGGATTTGCTTTTTATTTGGCAATGCAAAAAATGTGCCTGTTAAAGGGTTAGAGAAATGAAGCCAGCATGTTATCTGAAAATCTCAAAATTCTACTCTTTTTATGAGTGAAGCTACTGAACAAGTAAACAGCATAGTTCTCTTAACCCAATATTTAATCAGTTTTATACACTGAAAAGGCTCCATTTATGGCTGAGTCTTTTATTAAAACCAGTTGTACAATGAATGCCTATCTAAACATTGTGCATTATTACAAGAAGAGTTTTTCTGAATTGCAAATTTCATGAAAGCTTGTGTTATGCTATCCCTGTATAACTAATGTAACATTTGGGAACAAATATATTTCTTTTATAACAAAATTCAAATGTTGAAATAGCTTAAATATCCTCAGAAATAGAGTACTATTCTCTGCATTTCTCTTTGGTGAAATTCTCTAGATGTCCTGTAAATGTCACTTCCTACAGCAAAGTTTTGAAAGCATTAAGCACCCCTGGAAAGCCAGATCACAAAACATACAAAAGGATATTAAAACACAGAAACTTTAAACATATTAGTGTTAGAAACTTTGTTTTAACTAAGTACTTTCTCTTATTATGCTTCTGCGTATCAGTTGCAAAACGTTTACACCACCTACAGCAACCTTAGACGAAAGGATTTAAAGTAAGCATGTCAATAGTGGTTCACAAAGCAATTAAAAAATATATATATGATTTCCTATCTTTAAAATAATTTTAGATGGTGTTTTAATCTTTGTTAGAAAGTACAGAAGACACTTTTTTTGTTTTCTTTTAATTTTTTTTACATGTATTTGTTTGTGAATCTTCTGTCTCTACTAGACCAAGAGCTACTTACTGGCAGAAAATAATTTTAATTTCTCTCTGGCTCAGTATTGAGTAGAGGCTGATAAATGTTTGGGACAGAAGGACAAAAGATATTTCACTCTGTTCACTTGCATTCTTCTTACTTTTTCTAAGTATTTTTCTCCTTTTACTGCTGCTTTCTCTGTTTTTGCAAAATATTTCCAAGACATGAAAGAGCATTCCTTACAATACATGCCCAGTTTAAAAACCACAGAGGAAATATGTAATTATACACCCATCACTGAGATTAAAATACAAGATTAACTATTATATCTAAAACCCTTGAATATCTCTCAAATTGAGCCCTCTTTTGCACTCTCAGCTGTAACCACTAATCTAAAACTTATTTTAATTATTCTTTGCTTCACTTTATAATTCTTCCACATGTAAATATATCTTTAAACCTTATATCATCTAATTTTACTTGCATTTGACAGTAACATAAATAGAATTATACTGCACTTGTTTGTTTGACTGAACATAAGTCATTGAGATTCATTGTGAGGTACATTCATCTTCCTTTTGTATGGCTCAGCTACACAAAGTGTGTTCCCATTCCCTGGACCAACAACATTGAGATCACCTAGAAATTTGTTAGAAATGTAGAATCTTTGGCACCACTATCAAATCCTTGAGTACAAATTTCATTTAACAAGATTCCCAGGAGATGCACACTCACAGTAATATTTGAAAATCACTTCATTGTTTGATTATAGCATAATATATTCATTATATTGTTTGTATAATATCATTGACATTAATTGTCTTGTCTGTGATACTTGGTTGATTTCATTTATTTTCCATAAAAATCTCTGTATTTATTCAACAAATATATATTATGTGCTTACTACATGCCAAGCATTGAAATAAATGCTTAGGATCCTTCAGAGAATAAAACAGAAAAAAATCCTGCTTTTGTGGTGCTTACATTCTAATGAGGGTAAAAGGCAAAAATCATATATAATAAACGTATTTCATGTTATAAAGTGATAAGCACTTGCTATAGATGGAATTGTGACCCCCAAAATTTATATGTTAAAGCGTTAACACCCACTACATCAGATGTAATAATATTTGGAGTTAAGGTCTTTAAATTGGTAATTAAATTAAAACAAGTCTGTAAGGATAGTCCCTTATACAATCCAACTGGTTTCCCTATGAGAAAAGGAGACTGGGACACAGAGACAGACACCAGGGATAAGCAATCACACAGGAAAGGCTACTGAGTGCAGCAAGAGGTTGGCTCTCTGAGGGCTAAGGAGAGAAGCCTCAGAAAAAAAAATCAACTTTGCTAACATCTTGATCCTGGATTTCTGCCTCCAGAACTGTGAGAAAATGAATTTGTGTTGGCTAAGCCACACAGTCTGTGATGTTTTGTTATGGTGGCCCTGGCAAACCAATACAGTGCTTAAATAAAGAAGCAAGATAAGATGGATGAGAGTGCCAGGAATGGGGATGAGAACAATTTTAAGTAGAGTGGTCAGAGTAAATTGCATTGACAAGGTGTCCTTTGATCAAAACCCAAAAGGTGTTAAATGAATTTCATGAGGCTCCAGTCATAGGGTGAAAAATGTAAGTAGGGAGTGTTTAGTGGATATTTTCATGGGAGAGCAAAAAAGTCAGTACAGCTGGAAGAAAAGTGAACAAGAGGGAGAACAGTGGGAGATGAGTTCAGAGAACTAACAGGACTTTGGTTTTTAATGCAACTGAAATGGGGTGATATTGCAGTTTTAGCAGACATGTAATATGACATTTGTAAAGTACCATTCTGGTTGCTGTGTGGAGGTATAATGCAGACAGCAAAAGGTGAAGCAGTGGGACCAGGTAGGGCTAAATTTCTGAAAGTCAATAACATATAATTTGCATATAAATTATCATTATTAATATTATCTTAATAGAATTAAGATACTAGGAAGAAAAAAAGTGAAAAGCTGAAATTATATATTTGCAACAAATGATCTGCCAAAAGATCATTACTATAGGTTGGTGCAAAAGTAATTGAGATTTTTGCCATTAAAAGTACACAAAAAATCACAATTACTTTTGCACCAAACATAGTAATGACCTTTCAGCAGATTATTTCTTGCAAATATATACTTCCAGCCTGTCACATTTTTTTTCTTTCTGGTATCTTAATTTTAAGGCCTGATTTTTGTTTTATGTTTAACCCTTTTTGTGTCTTGCTTATGAAACCTTCCCCACTTCAAGACCATAAAGCTACTTTTTTCTTATAAGCTTTAAAACTTAATTGTACAGATATGTTATTATTTCATCTGGAATTAAATTTTGTATATAGTTTTAGGTAAAGAATTCATTTTATTTTATTTTCCACACAACCAATTGTCTAGCACCATTTTTCAAATAGTGCAGTTAATACTTATCTGCAATACCGGCTCTGTCATATGTAAAGTTTATGTAAATGTTTGGTCTATTTATGAGCTTTTTTATTAGATTTGTTGGTCAGTTTGTCGATTCTGGCTAATTCCACATTGTCTTAATCTACCTTTTAAATAAATCTTTATTTCTGTTATGTCTCCAACTTTGTTCTTAACAGTGGTTTATTCTTTTTTCTTTACATTCACGTAATTTTTAGAATAAATTTCCGGCCGAGTGTGGTGGCTCATGCCTGTAATCCCAGCACTTTGGGAGGCCGAGGAGGGTGGGTCATGAGGTCAGGAGATCAAGACCATCCTGGATAACACAGTGAAACCCCGTCTCTACTAAAAATACAAAAAAAATTAGCTGGGTGTGGTGGCGGGCGCCCATAGTCCCAGCTACTCGGGAGGCTGAGGCAGGAGAATGGCGTGAACCTGGGAGGCGGAGCGTGCAGTGAGCTGAGATCGCGCCACTGCACTCCATCCTGGGTGACAGAGCAAGACTCCATCTCAAAAAAATAAAAATAAAAAAGAATAAATTTCCCACTTGGCCCTGTAAAGATTGTGTTTACTAGGTGTTTCTATTAGTCTGCTAAAAAGATACTACCTGAGACCAGGTAATGTATAAGCAGGTCTAATTGACTCACAGTTCTGCATTGCTGGGGAGGCCGCAGGAAATTTGCAATCATGGTGGAAGGTGAAGGGGAAGCAAGGCACATCTCACATGGCAGCAGGAGAGAGAGAGAGAAAAGGAGAAATTGCCAAACACTTTTAAAATCATCAGATCTCATGAGAACTCCCTCACTATCACATGCACAGAATGGGGGAAACCACTCCTATGATCCAATAACCTCCCACCAGTTCCTCCCTCGACACGTGGGTATTACAATTTGAGATGAGATTTGGGTGGTGACACAGAGCCAAACCACATCAGTGTCGTTTCCCAATTGTATAATAAATCTTTTACCAGACATTGCATCACAGTTCCTCTCTCCCTATTAACCTAGGTACTACTTCTAGGACATAATGGATTACAAGCCTAGGTGACTAGCAGCACTTAATAGAAACAGGCTTGTTTTGTAAACATCTGAAAGTCTGAGAAAGCTCAACTTGAGTAGTAAAAGGTTGAAACCACGTAACCATAAAGTTATAATTTGTGTTATTACACTTTTACTTCTCCGCCTCCTCTGCTTCATTGTTAT
This sequence comes from Homo sapiens, assembly GCF_000001405.40. Taxonomy (NCBI): domain Eukaryota; kingdom Metazoa; phylum Chordata; class Mammalia; order Primates; family Hominidae; genus Homo; species Homo sapiens. Next base: position 3,953,524 of record NC_000024.10, read on the forward strand.
TTTCATTATGTCATTAATACAACAGAAGTAAATAATATTTATTGAGTGTTGAGTACTTCTTTAATTACTTTAGATATATTTTGCCTAATCTTCTTTATACTCCTATAGGATATATAATGATAACTACTTTAACATATGAGAAATGAGGATCAGAGAGGTTAAGTAGAGTGTCCACATTCAGGTACCTGGGAAAGGAGTGAAATACAGAATTAAGATAATCAAAGCCACATTATTTTACATGCAAAAGTTTTGCTCAGTCTTTGTTAATTTCCTAAATTAGAAACAAATGGCCTTGCAGTTGCTACTTCATTTTCTGCTTTTGATACTGCCATATAGAAATTTAGTATTTAAAATAAAAATAATACTAGACAGCATGACTAGCTTCAGAGAATTATCAATGATTTAATCTTTAGTTACCTGACACCTGAATTACTATAGATTCCTATTGGGCACACTCTGATGTCATTTTATAAAGGTAAATTATTTCCTCTTCAAAGTTGTGACCTATCTCATAAAAGTGTCATAAGAATTAACTAATTAAAGATCAAAGAGCACTTTGAGAATGTATTATACTATGTAAATACTGAGTATTGAAAAGACAAATTCTAGAGGTTAGCAAAATACTAATGTGTCAACACCAGTTCTTTTTTGCAAGGTTTTGTTTTTCATCCTTGTTCTTTTATGTTGTAAAATATGTATTGAAACATTTGTCATAAAATATCTTGCTGCTAAATGTAAGAAAGCGTAACAGGTTTTACTTTTTCAAAATTAATAAATATTCACATTTTATTTTAAATCACAATGGTTCTCATGAAACTGAAATTATATTATTCCAGAAGTAATCAGAGCCTTTTAGAAGTAATTGGAGTCTTTTTGGAAGTACATTTTATAAATCCTATTAAGTGGTCATTTTTCTTATGGTTCTTTCTTTTAGCAAAGTAAATTTGTTATTTAATTATCTTTAATCTTTAAAGGAATTATTCAAATATGTCCAAGCTTTATTAAATAATAAGTACTGGGGCATTATAGTAAATTATTAGAAAGTATAAATGATAAAATGTGTGCTATTTTGAGCATGTTTAGACTTCATAACTATATCTACACATAAAATATCATAATAAAAACCAATTATTGAAAAATATAAAATCACACATGAGATTATGTAGAAATTTTAAAGAAGCTTGGGAATTGCCTCCACTTCAGTATACATCATCAAAGCACGTTTTAGATACCTGCAAATAGTTCTTTGGCTTTGAGATTTAGTATCGCCAAAAAAAAGTCTGAAAATTAAATGTTTCTAAGGTCTGATAGGACATTTTGCTTGTTTTCACAGATGAAAAATTTTAGTAAAAATATATTCTTAAATAAGACATGTATTAGGGTTCCCTGGGGATGGAGATATATATATATATATATATATATATATATATATATATATATATATATATATCTCCTATTGGTTATATAGGCTATTGATCTATCAATATATCAGAACATACATGTGCATCAAGAGAATTATAATGAAGAATTGGCTCATGAGACTGTGGAGACTAAGTCCCATAATCTGCTAAATACAAATTGGAATCCAAAGAAGGCCAATGGAGTAATTCAGTCCTGGACTAAAGGCCTGAGAACCAGTGGAGCCAAGGGGGGTATAATTTCCAGTCTGAGAATCAAAGAAAATGAGTTGAAATGTTTCGGTCATTGTAGCAGGGAAAAAATAAAAATAAAAAGAGTGAGTTACTTTTTCCTCCCCCTTTTGTTCTATTTAGGCCCTCAGGAGATTGGGAGATGCCCACTCACAATGGAGATCCACAATCTACTGATCCACCAATTCAAATGCTAATCTCAACTGGAAAGACCCTCACAGACACACTAGGAAATTACGTTTAATCTGGGCACCCCATGGCCAGTCATGATGACACATAAAATTAACCATCCTAATTACACTCCTTGTCCATTCGGCACCCATATGCATCTCCTTAAACAATACTTAATCTTCAAGTAAAGATTATAACAAGATCATAACACTGCCTAACATGATACAAGTACCATGCAAAAAAACAAAAACATGCTTACTTCTTCCCAAAAGGGGAGGCAAATTCTTTGGTCGATGTTTACTCTTCTCCTTGACATCATGTAACCTAAATACTATGATGTAACATGATGTAAAATTAACAATACTAAAATGAAATTTGTATGAATTAAAATCAATACATTTTATGTTACATCATAAGGGAATAAGAAAGCAAAACACAACAAAGATTTTACACACACACACGTACACACGAATATATGAATGTACTCATAGGAAATTAAGGAAAAATTGGTTATGACAATTATAATTCTCCTTTCTGTAACTGATCACATGGTCATAGCTGTTATTTATAACTATCTTCTTCCACTACCTATTTTCTATTCTCTTTGACTTCAGCAAGCACCTCAACTGAAGTTTGGGTGTTCAATGAAGCACCCAAAGTTCATTGCTGAAGAGTCTGGGCCATTAGTAGTCCTGCTTAGATGGATTGTTACAGGTTTCTATTTAGATTGTTATAGTTGTCCATTCAAGTTAATCACAAGGCACGGGGATATTAAGAGACACCATAAGAGATCTCCTGTATTCTAGACATACTCTTCCTTATCTCCATTACGGAGTAGCAGTCCAATATCTCCCTTGGTAATCAGGATCAATCATCTCAGCCAACATTGTAACTTCCATCTTTGTTGATTTGGAGATGTGAAGAGCCCTAAGAGGCCAGGTGGAAGTCTTAATTTCAAGTTCAATGAAATCATTGTTACCTCTCCTGGTGGAAGCATTCCTCCCGCAGGAACTAAGACCTCTAGGCCAGCAGAGCATAAAATCACAGAAACAGGAAGCAAAATCTTGCTGGTTGGTCACTATGGATGCTAGTGAACATTGTCACTCCAGTTCTACCACTTGATTCTTGGACCCATGAGTCCTGGCTATGAGAAAAACAGCACCATATATTGGACACTGATTCACAGCACAGCCTTCTGGAAAACCTTTCCCCAGGCTTGCACGGTGTTTACATTTAGCTGTTGTAACTGAGTCTTCAAAAGGCTATTCCACTGTTCCATCAAGCCAGCTACTTCAAGATGGTATGCATCATGGTAAGGCCAATGAACTTCATGGTCATGGACCTATCTATTGTCACATTTATTTTGCTGTAAACTGAGTTTCTTGATCTAAAACAACAGTGTGTAGGGTGTCATAACAGTGACTGAGACATTTTGTAAGTCCCCAAATGGTAGTTTTGGCAAAAGAACTGCATGCAGAGAAGGCACATTAATTTCCAGAGTAAGTGTTTATTCCACAAACAATAAAATGCAGCTCCTTTCTTGATGGAAGTGGTCAAATGTAATCAACTTGCCAACAGGTAGTTGGCTGATTACCCTGGGTAAAGGTATCATCTCGGGGACTCAGTTCTTTTTGATGGCAGACTGGACACTCAGTGGTGGTCATAGCCAAGTTGCCCTTGGTGAGTTAAAAGCCATGTTGCTAAGCAAGTCTCCATTTCTGCTGCCATGGCCACTTCGTGAACCACTGAGCAACGATGGTGTGGCAGGGGAAAGAGGCTGACTAGTATCTGGAAAATGGGTATTCTATCCACTAACCATTAAAATTATTTGCTGAGGTCTCTTGTTAGCGAGTAATCACATAAGACACAAAGCCTTCATAATTTTTGCCCATTCAGAGAGGTCTAACCACAAACCTCTTCCTCACATGTCTGTCATCAATTTTACAATTATGTTCCTTCCAAGTCCCTGACCAACTAGCCAAACTACTGGTCACAGCCCATGAATCAGTATGCAATTGCACCTCTGGCCATTTCTTCTTCCAAGCCAAGTGAATAACTGGGTGCACTGCTCCAGGTTATGCCCACTGAGAAAATTTCCCTTTGCCACGCTCCTTCAGGAATATACCAGAGGGGGGCAGTAGATCTGCAGCTGTTGACTTTTGAATGATGCCTGCATATTATGCAGGTGTAAACAGGGTTTAAGTTTTCTCTGCCTTTGTCAAAGGATCATAAGTTATTCACCACGAGGTCATACGTAAAGGGTAAAAGAGAGAAAGTAGCATAGTAGGAATAAGGACAATAGGTACCTGACCCACTTCTTCACGTAACTTACTTGCGTCTCAGGATCTTCTCAGGCCAAGTAATTCATATGTCACTTCTGTTTGATGATGTAGTGTTGCTGTGCATGCTCAGTTGTATGAGTTTTCTGGTTAGATAACACCCATTTTATGATGCGAAGCTTAGGTTACATGGTAAATTGGTGGAGACGGTTAAGCGTTCAGTCTCTACTAAAGGCTAGTCACAGGCCAAGAACTGTTTCTCAAAAGGAGAGTAGTCATCTTCAGAGGATGACAGGATCTTGCTCCAAAATTTTAAAGACCCCCACTGCACCTATAGGAGGTGGCCAAGGGCTTCAAATAGTATTCCTATCTGATGAATGATATGGTGCAAGTGGAAGAGCAGCTTGCACTTAGGACTGAACTTATTACAGAGCCATCTCTTATTGTGAGTCCCACTCCAAATCAACAGCTTCTCTAGTCACTTGGTAAATGGGCTGAAACTACACACTCAAATGAGGAGTATGTGGCCTTCAAAATCCAAAGAGTCCCGCTAGGAGTTGTACCTACTTCTTGGTTGTTGGAAGGGCCAGATGCAACAACTAATCCTTCACTTTAGCAGGAATATCTCAAGAGGCCCCACTCATACCACTGTACCCCAGAAATTTGACTGAGGTAGAAATCCCATGGAATTTAGTGAAATTTATTTTCTGTCCTCCCTGACATACAGATGTCTTATCAATAAGTCTAGAGTAGGCAGTACCTCTTCCTCACTAAATCCATTCAGCACAATATCATCAATGTAATGGACCAGTGTGCTATCTTGTGGAAGGGAAAGGTGATCAAGATCCCTGTTAACTAAATTCTGACATCGGGCTAGGGAGTTGATATAACCCTGAGGCATGACAGTGAAGGTGTACTGGTGGCCTTGTCAGCTGAAAGCAAACTGCTCTGGTCAGCCATAAGGACAGGTTTGGAGAAAAATCATTTACCAGATCAATGGCTGCATACTACGTATCTGGGGATGGCTTAATTTGCTGAAACAATGAAAACACAGACAGTCTGAGGGCTAAAGAAGATGAAATGAGATGATCTAGCTCAAACTGTGAGGCAGAAAAAAACAGTCTAATTTATCATTCCTTGTTTCTTTGTTATATTTAGGGCCTCAGTGGATCAGATAATGTCTGTCCACTTTGGGGAGGCCAATCTATTTTATTGAGTCCACTAATTGAAATGCTAATTTCACTCAGAATTACCCTCATAGACATGCCTAGAAATAATGTTTAATCTGGATACTTCATGGCCAGTCAGATTGAGACATACAATTAACCATTACAAGACATAACTGTTAATTCAGAGTGACTTACACGCATATTATAAACAAGAAGTTAGATTTAACTTCCCAAAAAAGAAGAATAAAAAGATGGCAAATGTTTGGGTCATCACGATGTAAGTGGCCTTATTAAAACCCTTGAAATGCAAGGTGAGGTAGTAATATATTAAATTGTTTACATTTTTCTTATTATGTTTATTTAATAAACACTTTAGTAACACTTATGTTAATCACAGTTTTAAGTATCATAAAAACATTCATTTGATTCTTATTTCAATTGTATAAATTAGTTACTATTATTACTCACATTTTACAGACAACTCTTTAAGTAACTCGTCCAAAGTAACACATTTAAAGAGTGACAGAGCCCAAGCAGGCAGAGTCTGGAGTGATTAATCAGGTGTTAAGATGTTTCTCTTTTTTCTTTGTTGGTAACCATGTAACAAGTCGGAAATTATCCTTAGTTTGAGAGCACAACACCTGTTTCAATTTTCTTCAATGTTAGAGAAAAAAGAAAAAAAAAAGTGACAGGATTTAGTAAGTTAAAGTAAGTATGATTCTTAATTCCATTCTTCCCAAAATGGTGAATTAACATGAGCTGCTGTCTCAATCCCTCAAGAAGAAGAAGAAATAAATGAAACATCTTTAAACATTTTTTAAGGAAAGTAAATATCAACTGTGTGAAACATCCTAGGGAAATAAAAGTCATTTTGAATTGATGGGAATGTGTGTTTTTGTATACACATGGAGAATGCAGAGCTGAATATATTTTTTAGAATAGTTGAATTCTGCTCCTTAGTATCCCCTGCCATTGCCTTGTTTTAATCAACACCTGCCCCTTCACTATGAAATTCTGTGGCAAAAATGCATCCCTTAGGCCAGGTGTCCACATGGGCAAAATAGTGCAAAAGCTTTTTTTCATGAAGTTTGACAAGCATCAAACATTTACTCTTCTCTTTCCTCTTCAAACTTCTAAAGCCATTTGATTACAACCTAGGGTAAGGATAAGGAAACTTTTTATCTGTAGTGGCCAGATATTTAATATTTTACATTTTGGAGACCACAAAGATCTCTGTCACATATTATTATTTATTTTTATAAACCCTTAAAATGTATAAACCATTTTAGTAAAAATCCTGTACAAAACCACATTAGTTCTGAGGTGTATTTGTTCCACTCAATATTTTCTGCAGACTGCTGACCTAGGGCATACCTTCTTCAATTCTGTTTTTCCCTCAGCTTCCAAAAGCAAGGTATGACTTAAAGAATTCCCTATAGATGGATATAAAACTGGAGTGAATGATAATGTTTCTTCTGTGCTTGGGGCTGCTTATTCTAAGAATCCACCTATCCTTCTCTTTGATTATGCTACTGGAGAAAGGGTGTGAGTGACACTGACTGAAGTTTGGCCAGCCCTTGATGTGTGATATGCATTTCCAGTTAGACTTACTCCAGTGTCACAGGCAAAAATAGAAATCTGAGAAGTATAAGTACTTTAAAAAATAACTGGATTACAAATATACTAGAAGATAGAGATCGTAGACCACATTGGTCATTTAAAATGATTATCTGAATTTATAATAAGTCATATATATATATACTAAAAATTAAAAGAAAAAATTTTAGTGATATGAAACAGAAAAAAGAACTCAGGAATAACTAGAAATTATAGGGTAAATAGTTGAATAAATACATATACAAAATGAACTAATGAGTTGAGAAACAATATTAAACTTTCCCAAAGTGTGTCCGGAGTTGGTTCCTGCCTGTGGGTTCGTGGTCTCACTGACTTCAAGAATGAAGCTGCAGACCTTCTCGGCGAGTGTTACAGCCCTTAAAGGTGGCACAGACCCAAAGAGTGAGCAGCAGCAAGATTTATTGTGAAGAGTGAAAGAACAAAGTTTCCACAGCGTGGAAGGGGACCCAAGTGGGTTGCCGCTATTGGCCAGGGTGGCCAGCTTGTATTCCTTTATTTGTCCCCTACCATGTTCCATTTCTGTCCTATTAGAATGCCCTTTTTTTCAATCCTTCCTGCGATTGGCTACTTTTAAGATCCCTGATTGATACATTTTACAGACCTCTGATTGGTGCATTTTACAATCCTCTTGCTAGCTCCAGAGTGCTGGTTGGTGCATTTTGACAGAGTGCTGATAGTTGCATTTTACAATCCTCTTGTAAGACAGAAAAGTTCTCCAAGTCCCCACTCGATGCAGGAAGTCCAGCTGGCTTCACCTTTCAAAAGGAAAATAAAAGTGGTAAAAGAAATAGAAGTTATAAACAAATAAACAAAAAGTTAAAAACTAGTAGAATAGTAGAAAACACATAAATAGGTGTTTAATAGAGGCCAGGATAAGTTAATTCTTACAAAGACACAAAGACCTGAGAATATTTGCAAGAGAATGACTCACCTTGAAAATCTTTTTGGGGGATCTATCCAAATTATAAAATGAACAAATAGAACAGATGTTGCAAGAGACAGGCAAGGTAAAGTTGATTAAATAACTTGATAAATTTTGTAATTGTTAACAAATATAGCTAATAACAAAGAAAAGAGGGAGAAGATTATATTCATAGTTATCTAGAATTTAAATGATACAAAGCAACAACATAATATTCAGGGCACAGGTTATTGACAGATCAAGAATATGAAAATATCAAACAGTATTTTCCAATTAGGAAGAAGGCATAAATGTAGATATCTGTGTTTGTTTGTTTCTTTGTATATGTGCGTTAAGAAAGAACAAACATAAAAGATGTTTAGTGAGTCAAATTCAAATAAAAAACTAGGATGTTAGAAGTCTATATATTTCAATATTTACAATAATTATAATAAATTGACCATTTAAAAGGCAGTGATTAAGGTTGAGTAATGTTAATAATAATAATAGAAACAACAACAACAGTAATAATAAAACCCAACCCTATGTTCCTTGTAAGGAAACCACATACAGAAGAAATTCACACAGTTGAGAAAAAAAGGATGAAAATCAATATGATATAAAATTACTAATAAAATATCTGGTGTGTCATGTTTATACCATACAACATAGAGATATAAAAAGCATCATTAGGACAATTACATAATTATAAAAATTTAATTCACTAAGACAGTAAAGCAATTCTAATTGTATAGGCACCTAAAAGTTTCATAAAATATATATGTAGCAAATATTGATAGAATTACAAGGAAAAAGAAATTTCCCACTTCTATGGTAGAAAATTTTATCACAGCTTTATAAGCATATAATATTTATAAACATAAATCGAAGTCTAAGAGTGACATCAACAAAATGGTTGACCAGGAAACTCCATGATCTTGTTCTTCTGTCAATGCAACACACAAAAAAAAACCCAAAAAACTGATGAAATAGACTTTGTAAGAGCCCTGAAAAACAGACAAATGTCTACAGCAACTAGTGAACATCCAATCAAGAAATTTAAAAAATAATGGTAAGTTTTAAAGTGATTTTGTTCAAACTTGTCCCACCTCCTTCCTGGTGCAGCATGGTCTTGGTCTGCAGGATGTTGCAGCCCAGTTTTAAATTTTCTTTCTCAAACTGGAGGACACAGAACAGATATTATTTCTAATGTTTTAACCTTTCTGGGAGCTGCCTCTTTATCTTATGTTGGAGCTCAGTTCAGGCAACATAGTTGAAAGAGGCAGGCACAGCTCTTATACTGCAGGCAGACAAAGAAGCACAGGCACCTGGGGGTAAAAGATTATGAGTAGAGATGTACAATAGACAGTCTAAATCTCTTAGGAAAAGCTGGGTTGAACCTCTTTGGGAAATGAAGATGTTAAAAAGCAGCTGTATACGGCACATAAGGATGAATTTTTAAAAGTCTGATCTGAGACTCCTGATCAGAAAAGACCAGAGAAGACCTTCAGCCTCATATCAGGCTGATTCTAAGGCTCAAAAAATGCTCTGCTGATTAGAGAATGACTTCCTTGGCTCAGAGCCAGTCTTCAAAGACTGAGAGAGGAATCTGCTTTTTTTGAATATTCAATGTTTGACAGCAACAAAAATAACAAGGCATACAGAAAACATCAGAAAAATCTGATCCATTCAAAACAAACAAACAAACAAACAATAAAGTTGAAGAAATTGTCTCTAGAGAAACACAGGCTTGGACTTACTAGCCAAAATTTTAAAGTAACTGTGTTTCCCTTATGCTGAAAGACCTGAAGGGAAAGATGGACATGGAATAATAAAAATCAGAAAAACAATATAAGAGCAAAATGAAAATATCAACAAAACTACAGAAATTATAAAAAGAAAGCCAAATCAAAATTCTTATATTAAAAAATTGTATAACTGAATTGAAACATTCACAAAAGGGATTCAACAGTATATGCAAGTAAGCAGAGGGAAGAATCAACAACTTGACTAGTTGTTTGAAATAATTGAGTGTGAGAAGCAAAAAGAAAAAAAAAGAATAAATAAGGGTAAACATAAACTAAAAAAACTTAAGGGACTTCATTAAAAGGACCACTGTACAGATCACACGAGTCTCAGAAGGAAAAGACAGATAAATAACGGGGTAGAGAGAGTATTTTGAAGAATTAATGGTTGAAAACTCTCTAAATTTGAGAAAATACATGAATCTATAAATCCAAGAAGCTCCCAAGAAGACCGACACTGAACAATCAAATATTCAAAAGCCAAAAGAGAATCTTGAAACCAGCAAGAGAAACTCATGTAACCCACTATATACAAGGGATTCTCAATAAGATTAACAGTGGATATCATAACAGAAACTTTGGAGGGAAAAAGGGAGTAGAATGATATATTTAAAGTGGTGAAAATAGAAAATTGTTAACCAATAGTTTTTATATCCAGCAAAACTGTCTTTTGAAAATGAGGGAGAAATTAAGACATTCTCAGATGTCTTAGGCCACTTCTGGTGCTATAGCTGACTAGTACAGACTGGGTAATTCTTCAAACAAAAAAGAAAAGTCTATTTGGCTCATGGCTCCAAAGGCTAGGAAGTTTAAGAGCATGGCACCAGCATCTGGTGAGGGTAATGTCCCAGTGCAAGGATGGAAGGCAGAAGTAAACACTTGATATATAGAGAGATGTGAGCTGAATTGATCCTTTTTATCATAAATCAACTCCCACAATAACTAACCTAGTCCTCTGGTAGTGATACTAATCCATTTATGAGGATGGAGCCCTCATAGCCTATCACTTTGTTAAGGCCCCATCACCCAACACCATCACAATGACAATTAAATTTCAACACACACACACACACACACACACACACACACACACACACACACATATGTATATGAATATAGATCCAGATGGTAACACATATAAGTATTTATAGATATGTGTATTTACACAGGTTAGTATGCACAGATATATTTCTTTTCCCCATTAGCTGAGAGGGCCTAAGAGAAGCAATATCTCAGAAGTAAATTACATACTTAATTTCCCAAATCTCGATTTCTAATACCATCCTCCAATAAAAGAGCCAGAGTTTCTCTGAGAATTGGCTGATTTTAGGACTGGGGCAGAAAATATACAAAATGAGTCTGGAACATTTTTCAAGGCCAGAAAGTTAAAAAAAAAAGTGCTCAGTTACATAGAGATGGGGGTATATCAAGAAACAGAAGCGCCATTGAAAGAGTTCCCAATGGCCAATGCTGGAACAATTTGAACAACACAATGAATAAAGTAGTACCAAATTGTAACTTAAAGTATAAATCTTCATGAGTCCAAAAACTAACATAAATAAATGATTGAATAAATTAATAAATGGGTGTGAAGACACAAATTTTTCACATGGACAAAGTACAAATAAAGTATGTAGATAATCCATCCTAAAGGGGGATAACATAACTCCTCATTATTTACGGGTGGGCTCTGCATATCAACTTCTTTTTAAAGAGTATAGAAAGTGGGAAAAAGAGTGACTCTAAAGTGCAGAAGCCTAACAAACACTATTTCAACCAGGTAATCAATGTGAACATCAAAATTCATAAACCAGGTTGATAGTATGTTCCTTTGATATGATACATAAAATGGCACATTTTCTCTGTAATCTTCCTTGTAAAACCACATTATTCTGTCTAATGATGAGAAAGACATTAGACAAATTGAGAGACTTTCTATAAAATGCCTGACTAGCACTCCTCAAAACTGTCATGTTTATTAAAAAGAAGAAAAGTTTTGGAAATGGCCATAGTTAAAAAAAGCTTAAGGAATCATAATAACTACATGTAATGTGGTATTCAGGATGGGATTCTGGAACTGAAAAAAAAAAGACATTAGGAGAAACTTAAAAAATCTTAATAAAGTAACAATATATTAATATGGGTATATTAATTGTTACAAATTTACCATATTGAAATAAGATGAAGCGGCCAGGTGCGGGTGGCTCATGCCTGTAATCCCAGCACTTTGGGAAGCCGAAGTAGAAGGATCATGAGGTCAGGAGGTGGAGACCAGCCTGACCAACAAGGTGAAACCCTGTCTCTACTAAAAATACAAAAATTAGCCTGGCATGGTGGTGCATGCCTGTAATCCCAGCTATTCAGGAGGCTGAGGCAGGAGAATCACTTGAACCTGGGAGGCAGAGGTTGCAATGAGGTGTGATCTCGCCATTGCACTCCAGCCTGGGTGCTGGGTGAAAGAGTGAGACTCCATCTCAAAAAAAAAAAAAAAATGAAGGCCAGAATGACTGGAGAAAAAGAAACTAGTGTATTTTGTAAAAAAGATATAGAGAGATAGATGATGCAGATATAGATACAGGTGATAGATAGAGAGAGAGAGAGGCATGGATATATGCAAGGGAATGGTGAAATGACAAATATGAGACTTTAAAAAGTGGTCACTTTCTTTTGGGTAAACTACAAGAACTGTCAAAGGATGTATATGAGTACATAGGAGATATTGTTAGTAATATACATCTCATGTTTGTAGTGTATTCACAGGTTTTTATATTTATAGATCTCTCTCTCTCTCCCCACACACACACGTATATTATAGAGAGACAATAGATCGATAGACCAATAGATACAGATAGATCAATGCATCCACACATACATACATATATTCATGCATAAATGTAAAATTTTAAAAGTCATATACACAGCAATGATGAGAAACTCTTATGAACAACGAAGTGTCATTATTCCAATTATATGCAACTTATGTTAATCAGCAAATAAGCAGAATAAGAGACGAGCTGTACATTGGCTCTCCAGGGCAAATGCTGATCAATAAAGAGTATATTTCTTAGGCCTTGCCAGGGATCTATAGTAAAAACAAAATTGAGAAACAGAAAAAAAAAATTGAAAATTAGAATTATAAAAAAATTATGAAATTAATGTGTCTGGAGTTGGTTACTGCTGGTGGGTTTGTGGTCTTGCTGACTTCAAGAATGAAGCCGCAGACCTTCGCGGTGAGTGTTACAGCTCTTAAAGGTGGCACAGACCCAAAGAGTGAGCAGCAGCAAGATTTATTGTGAAAAACAAAAGAACAAAGTTTCCACAGTGTGTAAGGGGACCCGAGTGGGTTGCTACTGCTGGCCGGGGTGGCCAGTTTTTATTCCCTTATTTGTCCCCTCCCATGTTCCGTTTCTATCCTATCAGAATGCTCTTTTTTCAATCCTCCCTGTGATTGGCTACTTTTAGGATCCTGCTGATTGGTGCATTTTACAGAGCACTGACTGGTGCATTTTACAGAGCACTGATTGGTGCATTTTACAATCCTGGTGCTAGCTACAGAGTGCTGATTGGTGCGTTTTTACAGAGCGCTGATTGGTGCGTTTTTACAGAGCGCTGATTGGTGCGTTTTTACAGAGCGCTGATTTGTGCATTTTACAATCCTTTTGCTAGCTACAGAGTGCTGATTGGTGTGTTTTACAGAGCACTGATTGCTGCATTTTGCAATTCTCTTGTAAGACAGAAAAGTTCTCCAAGTCCCCACTAGACCCAGGAAGTCCGGCTGGCTTCACCTCTCATTAATAGGCAAGGCTTTGAAGTTTGAGTGGGACTAAAGTAGGTTTTCAAGGTATATATGGGATGTAACCCAGGGAGAAATAGTATAGAATTATTTCTGGGAACTGAATCTCAGGGCTCTTAATAGGTAGAGATGCTTTTAAAAACAGAGGAGAGCTCTTGAATACTACAGATAATTGACTCAATCATTGCAATAAACTTTTCCCCAGAAAGCTTTTGTTTTTGCTGCTGTCGAGGAAAGTTAAGCCAGATGAACCAAAGAACAGCTAGGCTGTTGTGTACAAACACTGAAACAAATTTCCTGAGATGTAACTTGGAATTTATGAGAATGTTTTAATTATATAAAAAATAGTTTTTCTGTTTTTCCCATTCCTACTCCTCCTTGTTCTTTTGCCTACATTGATAAGTGTTGGGGTTGGGGGTGCAGGAGGGTAAGACTTGATTAGTTCCTGAAAAAGAAAAATGATTCCTTAAGTGCCTATAGTGCCTGTGATGCCACTGACTCAAAGTCAGGTAATGGAGAATGAAAAGGTCGAAATCTGTTAGATAGACCTGAGATTTATCTTGTACTTTTGAACTCAACTCACTGGAAGTCTGCCTTAGAAAGAATTACCTTAGTAAAATCTCGAACTAATTTCATTTTGGGTCTTCTAGAATTTACTCCAAGTCATAATAACTGCTGAAGAGTGAAAGGAAAAGCAATAAACTTTCTAGCAAAAGGCTAGAAAGAATACAAAGATGCAGAAAGACAGCTAATTCTGCATATTGAGTCAAAGCCGTTTTATCTTTGAGTGCTAGGTAATAATAAGAGTTTACTAGATATTTGGCAAATCATTTAGTCTCTAGAGTTTTACACACAGAGTTAGACAAAAATTAGTTCATTTGTCTTACATTTGCCCGCTTTAAAGAATAACGTTTTTTCAGCTTGTCAATTCTACTGCTTTCCCCAGCGTCTGCATAATAAGGCAGACAACTCAACACAGGAGTTGATCTGTGATCAACACATTCAAGTGATCACGTCTCCTTCCTTGGCAGAATACTCCTTGATTCTTGTAACGGGAATGTCTATATTTCAACTTGAGATTGGCAGTTTAATTGCCTAACCTAATACTAACTAGTTTGAAGCATGGATAGTCACTAAACAGAACAGTTTTATTTTCATACAAAACAGATATTCTTCATTAAAATTAAGTATTTTCAGGCACAGCTTGCTAATATAGCTATTAAGGATAATTAAGAAAACTTTCAAGTTTTTCACTTAGGAAATTCCATGTATGAAAGCAAAATAAATTTTCCTTCAAGTCCTTCCTCTTGCCATTTTCCCATATCCAGTACTGTACAGACTTTAGAAGAGTTTATTTTATCATAATTTATTAAATATGGTCACAACACAGTACATGCTGGAAGATAGGTTCTTTTAAAAATCCAATTATGCCCCTGACACTTGAGCCAACTAAAGGACATAAGTCAGAGAGCCATCTGATTTTTTCTTTTGACTAAGGAGGGCCTAAATTAATTCCATAGGGATGATTAAATTTAGATTTAGAGGTTGTATAAGCAAACTGAGGTTAGCTTATGAGTTTTATTCTGGGACAAAAGGTCAAGAAGTGCTTATTTTAAACCTGACATATCCTGTTTTTCAGGAGCTCTGAAAAGTTAAAAAATTTGGCAGGAGGTTGGGAAACTACAGCATATACATCTGACCTAGAGGCACTCTCTGAATGGCTTTTCTTTCTTTCTTTCTTTTTTTTTTCTAGACAGGCTATCAATTTAACAAAGAAGGATTATGGCAGTAAGTTGTCAAATGAGCTGACAAAATCAACTGTCACGTTTTATGGTGGCCCGGGTTTCGAGAATGTACAGATAATTTTTCCTCAAAAGGAGAATGTCTGGTTTTCTTTATTTTTCTGATTTCTTCAAAGGCATAGTCTACCTAAACTGAAAAAAACTCAGAAAAAAAAATGAAAACGGAAAAGGAATATATTTTTCTTCTATATATTATTTTAAAAATACCTTTTTATCAAGTATCCTGATAACTTTTCTGAGTTAGCCATTGTATTAGTTTCCTATTGCTGTTTAACTACCAAAAATATAATAGCTTGAAAAAAATGAAGTTCTAGTTCAGCAGGTCAGAATTTCAAACACAAATGACTGCATTCTCTGCTCAGGGTCTGACAAGACTGAAATAAATGTGTTGGCAATACCATGCTACCTATTGTATATGAAATGTACTTTGTGTTTCGGGCTTGCTACAGGCATGCTCTTTCCTTGTGCAAATTGTTATTGACAATGTCAGTTATAAGTTTGGAGATACATTGTTAATTCAATAGTATTAATTCCCTGTTGTGCTTGGCCTTTCCCACACCTCTAAAATAACAGTTATACAATTGACTCTAGAATAACCAAGGAAAGCATTACGATTTTCAGTATTCACAGTGGTGAAAATTAATAATGGTGCGTTTGTGGAAGAAAAAATGAAAGTCGTGGCTCATGCCTATAATCCCAGCACTTTGGGAGGCCGAGGCGGGCGGATCACGAGGTCAGGAGATTGAGACCATCCTGGCTTAACGAGGTGAAACCCTGTCTGTACTAAAAATAAATACAAAAAATTAGCCAGGTGTGGTGGTGGGCTCCGTAGTCCCAGCTAGTCGGGAGGTTGAGACAGGAGAATGGCCTGAACCCAAGAGGCAGAGCTTGCAGTGAGTCGAGATAGCACCACTGCACTCCAGCCTGGGTGACAGAGTGAGACTCCATCTCAAAAAAAAAAAAATAAAAAACAAAAAAAAATAAGAAAGAGGTGTTGGTCAACAAGAAGCAGTGGTCAGTTAGGAAAACAGCATTTAGGGAGGGGGAAGCAATCATGATGAATGAGTCTGGCATCTCATTGTCTTGAGTGTGGTGATCTGGTGAGTTTTAGTTCTTTGATGCTTTTTGAGAGGCCTAAGGATTGTTTCCTGAGTAAGGATCTCAGATAAGGCAAATGTAAGTTATAAGCTTTAAGGCTAGAAGAGCAAATTTCTATTTTTATTAAAAAAAAACTGTCTATAAGATTATGAGATTGGTTTCAAAAGAACTCAGGAAAAATATGTCAACAGCATCATATATTGTCTTTCTTTCTAACTTTCTTCAACTCCAAACATACCCTTTGAAGGGTGCAAAGTTTTCCAAGGGCATAGCTCTAGGTGAGTTCGTAAGAATATGAATTGTTCAATTGTAGTTTTAATTTTCTACACGGCAGAAAAATATTGTATGGAGCGAATAATTGTGGGGTACTGAGTTTAGAGAGAATGAACTCTTTTATGTGTAATAAGTTATAAATTTAAAACCTCTTGAAAATATAATAGGAGCATATCTGATCTAACCAACTTGTATTATTAATTTAGTTATTTCATATATTTTAAAAAATATTTATTAAGCTAGTGAACTTTCCCTAAAAAACAGACATTCCCCATCATGTCCCAAACACTATACTGTGAATAATCCTAATCCTTCCATAGAATTATTATGTCTTCAACCACTTTCAAATATCTTAAAGGCAGCAACTAGATTCTATTTATCTTTGTATTTCTCCATACTTAATCTTCAAATGACAGAGCCAGTTTTCAGTACTATTCAGTCTGGCTACAGAGCCTGTGCTTTTTTTTTTTTTTTTTTTTTTTTTTTTTTTGAGATGGAATCTTGCTCTGTCGCCCAGGCTAGAGTCACTGGTGCGACCTCGGCTCACTGCAATTTCCACCTCCTGGGTTCAAGCGATTTTCCTGCCTCAGCCTCCAGAGTAGCTGGGACTACAGGCGCATGCCACCATGCTCAGATAATTGTTTTGTATTTTTAGTAGAGACAGGGTTTCACCCTATTGGCCCGGTTGGTCCCGAACCACTGACCTTGTGATCCACCCGCCTCGGCCTCCCAGAGTGCTGGGATTTCAGGCATGAGCCACCACGCCCAGCCCAAGCCTGTGCTTTTGAACACTGCTCTATAGTGTCTCATATAACAGTGGTGGGCAATACCTTTAAGCCAATTTCATTTTTCTGTCTTACCATAGGATGTTGAAGCCGCTATAACAAAATACCACAACTGGGTGGCTTATAACAACAGAAATTTATTTTTCACAATGCTGGAGCCTGGAAAATCCAAGATCATGGTGCTGGCAGATTTGGTTTCAGGTAAAAGCTATTTTCTGGTTCATATTTGATGCCTTCTAACAGTGTCCCTTTATGGTGGAAGGGGACAACGATAGCCTCTTCAGCCTGTTATAAGGACTCTAATCCCATTCATGAGTGTCTCACCCTCATGTCTGAATTACCTCCCCAAAGGCCCCACCTTCTAAACACAACATAAGGGGGTTATTTTTCAACATATAAATTTTGAGGAAACACATTCAATCCGTGGCAATCATATATTTCTTTGTTCTAAAGTTAGTTGTATCAGTTTGGGAACGGCTGGTAGTGCCCTTTCAACTATTTTAAAAGCAACACATGAGTAGACTATGAACCAGTGCATACTAAGACATTATGCTTAACTTCCATTCAGTGTTCTTAAAGTCCTTCAAGACTCTTTTTAATCCTATTTTCAGGATCTTTGCTCATTTCTGAAACAATAATGTGTCGAAGGGCTTATACACAGTCATGTTAATCTGAAGGTGAAGAGCTGTACTAGTTAGATACTAATCATAGCTCCAGTTTGAGCAGTAATATTGATACTTTTTAAAAATTTTATTGAGATGGAGTCTCACTTTGTCGCCAGGCTGGTGTGCAGTGGCATGATCTTGGCTCACTGCAACCTCTGCCTCCTGGGTTCATGTGATTTTCCTGCCTCAGCCTCCAGAGTAGCTGGGACTACAGGCGCGTGCCACCATGCCCAGCTAATTTTTGTATTTTTAGTAGAGACGGGTTTTCACCATGTTGGCCAAGATGGTCTCCATCTCTTGACTTTGTGATCCTCCTGTGTCAGCCTCCCAAGATACATTTTTCTTTCTGCTTGATTTGAATAAATTATTCTGAAAAGTTTCATCCTGCATATATTGTTTTTAAAATACTATTTTAGAAGAAAAGGTTATTTAAATTTAGAGAGTCACTATGTTTTCCCTTTGGAAATAAGTTCCATTAGGCTTTCTTGTTATACAAAGTAATTACATAAAATCATTGACAAACTATGTCAGTAGAAAGTACTCAATATATTTCCAAAATGGAATAAATCCTGTAAGCCCCAATAATTTCTTTAATGTACTCTATAAAATTTCTTTTGAGATCTAGGCTTCATAGAAAACTAAATTGTGGTTCATAATTTTAACATGCCATAATAAATATCTTCATTAAAATGGAATTTTAAACCTAATTTTAAAATGAGCAAATGTTTTCTTTACTATGTTTGTTCAGCATTTCTAATTATCATCCTTAAAAAGTGTAAAACCCCAAATAACTTTCTGACTAACTTAATACGTATCAATACATGCTCATAGTATTTTTGCGAGATTTATTTTAAAATAGTTGTATATAATCACTGTCTTCATTTTGGTTCCTATGATTTTCTCTTAAACCCAGTCTATTCAGTCTTTTATCCCAACCACTTCACTGACATTTCTTTTGTGAAGATCCCAAATTATCTCAACATTGCCCAATCCAATGGCTAGACTTCAGTCCTCATCCTACCAAATTATTTGCACCATTCAACACATTTCTTACACTTTCTTCATTTGACTTCCAAAACACTATCATCTCTTCATCTTCCTCTTACCTCATTGTTGGTTCTTGTCAGCTTTCTTTGCTGATTTCTGCCTAGCTCCTCAGTGCCAACGTGCTTAGCCTGTGGCCTTTTCTTTTCTACACCCAGTAATATTCTTGAGAATGCAATTTCGCATCATGCATTTATATAACATCTATATGCTGACAATGTCAAATTTTTGTATCCAATCCACACATCTTTAGTGAACTCTTTTATACTCAAATATTATTTATTTTCTGTTTTTTTTACATGAATATAAGCTCTCTAGAAAAGAGAACCATTTCATTTGCAAATGCATCCCACTCTTCACTAGAAAATTACTTGGCAAATGATAAGGGCTTGATAAAGAGTTAATAAAGGAAAGAAAGAATGAATTAAATATTTTACGTACATATGTGTGTATATATCCATATGGATATATGAGAGATAAATATTTCACAAATATTTGATTAAGTTGAACACATTATTCCTTTGTCATGCTATGCATCAATTTTCCCTTTCAATAACATTTTGCTCTTTTCAACATTTAGATGTCTTTCAAATAATATGAATTGTAGGTGTTTTCTTCTTAATGACTGCTCTGATAACTTAGTACTTATTAGCTCTTGTTATATTAGAAACAAAGATATTCAGAGTTGAATGAGAGGAAAAGCAATATGAGTTTTCTGCTGATCTAGGTAAAAAGGAAAATGAAGCAAAGAAGAGAAAGATGGTTCTTGTAGCAGGGGTTTTCAGAACTTAAGTAGAATCCTGTTTTTGAACACTGAATTTGACTCCCTGCAGTCAGCCTTAAAAATACATACAGAATACAAAATGTATTGAGTTCTTTAAAGTGCAAAAGGTGAAGGGCTGTTGTTAGTTGGAGTTCTTCCAGAAGACAGTCCTGTCTCAAACAGTGTTTGGTTCTTAAGAGAGGTTAACTTCCCAGCACAAATATGACATTAAAGAGCTAATCATCAGTCTTCCTCTTTCCTGACAGAGCTTTGATCCACAGTTGAACCTTTTTCTTTTTCTTTCAAACTACATTCAGTTGTAGTCCCTGGGGAAAAGTCAGATTCCTGTTGATTGTCCTCAGCTCAAGGAGAAGGGTTTCATCTTTATTTATAGCACTTGTGAAGTGCCCACAGGACACAGCAAGGTCAGCGTCCTAGCTAAGACCTAAGACCTATCCATAGTATATAGAAATAAGGCAACCTTTGCATCCTCGAGAAACTTATATTCTAAAGTATGGATTGAGTCAATGGCCTTTGAAATGGTAACTATTTTGAATAAAAAACATCAGAGGAGCAGGATTTGAGAGATGAACACATAGCAATGCATAAAGTAGATTTACTGAATAGAAGTCTAGTACTATAAGTAATTAAATAAAAGCCTTCTCAGCCCAGGTTGTGGCAATTCTGGATTTTTATTTTTCCTGTCTTGCAAAAGAGTGATTCTTAACCTTGGCTGCACATTAACATTACCTGAAAATCTTTTAAAAACCTTGTCAGACCTCGCCCTGACAAATCAAAATCTCTTTCTAGGACCAAGATATTAGTAATTTGTTTTAAACTCACTAGGTGATACCAATATGCATCCAAGTTTGAGAATAAGTATTCTTGGCTCATAAAATAGAGTTATGACAGCTATATAAACAAAACAGATATTATACATTTTAGAAAATATGTGACAACGGAATCATTCATGTCAATGGCAAAATAATTATAACAATTCATTAACCAATATTTGTTATATAGACTTTTGGGGTATTATTTTTTTAGCACGTTTATAATTGGTTTTCTGAGAGATACATAAAACCCAGCCATAATGACAAAAGTAAATACTGGTCACCCAACTCAAGATTTGGGAAAACCTTACTAGCCTTGTTATAGAGAGTAATAACTTCCTCTAGGCATGCTAAAAAGTACAAGAATGAGAGGCATGATCTCATTCCTATTCTCAAATATGTCCAGTGATCTTTACTCAATACATAGATAATTTGTACCTGAATCAGAATCTCTGGGATAGAGCCAAGGATCTTTATTTTTAATAATCTCCCAGTTAATTATTATTTACACTGAAGTGTAAAAATCACAGGCTTATTTTTACACTATAATTAACAGTAACAACAAAACCAGATATGGTAAATACAGTAAATTTAAAATCCCTAAGTGAAACCAGCCTGATGTCCCCATAGAAATGATATAATGATTTTTTAAGTAAACATGGAAATTGATACTCCCTAGTCTTAAAACTTGAAACATTTACTTTATCTGAATTCTTTCCTCAGGAAACCAACCCTCAGGCAAGGAACTAAAATTCATCAGATTACCATATCCAGACAATGAGACACCAGACCCCTCATTCATCATGAATGCTTCCTTTCTTGTCCCTAATTTACTTCCCCCACACACATACGTAGTTAGATTCCCTCCACCACTATCTAAACCCCCAATTTTACTTAGCTAAGGAGACAGATTTGAAGTTTGGCTACCATCACTCCTGCTGACGTCACCTGAATTAAAAGCCTTCTTCCTGGCAGTAATTGTTGTCTCAGTGATTCACTTTCTGTGTGGTGAGCAAAAGGACCTATACCAAACCCCTGGCATTTCAGTATACTACATAAGGTCTGATATAACAGTAATCATACCAAATCAGTCATTTTAGAAGGTCTAAAACAATTTTAAAAGATTGCCTTCAAACAGAATAGTATCACTTAAATTGACCTCTTCCCTAGAAACTTAGCTGGGAAAACACATAACTGCTTTGCAAATATATTTATAGCAATAAAAAACACATAAATAAGCAACAATTTTAATGAAATGAATAATAATGACTCAGAGGCAGAGATGTCTTTAAAAATTTTTGCCATTGGAATAATCGGAAGTAAATAATATAATTTGCAGCAGGGTGGAAAGCATTGTATATGTGTTCCTACTAACTAAGTACGAATCCAGTAAGATTGTATGACACATTTTTAAAAAGCATATTCTTAAAAACAATCTTTACTTCCTTTAAAAATATCTTGGATGCTTTGTAAAAAATAATGTCTGTTCATCATAAAATTCAAAATGCCAGGAATATTATAAGAAAAAAATAAAAATTAACAGAAACCTTGCCTTTTTTGCAGAAAAGTCCTGAATAGAAGTTTACATAAATAAGAGAATTGGTGTTCTATAAAGTGTTTTTCTTTAGTCAACAATATGATTAGTACATTTTTCAGGAAATAGTACAATATTTAATAATTTTTAATAGCTATATATTATGTAAGCACCAGAATTCCTTTAGTCAGTTTCTATCAAGGGATATTTAGATGATTTTTCAACTTTTCTATATTATTAAAAACATCATAAGATGAATCCTTATGTGTACATAATTTTGAATATGTGCAATTATTCCCTTAGTGTAACCTTTTAAAAGTGAGTTTTTTAATATATCAAAAGGAATAAGCATTTTACATATGGATTCATATTGTAAACAAATCCTCTTCCCTAATTGCACTATAACATCTGAGATTGTTCCTTATTTTATGTCCTCAACAAGCCTGGGTTTTGTCAAATTTCTTAAACATTTTCTTTTCATTTTTTTAATGATTATCATACCATTGTTCTAATTTCCTTATTAATGAATAGAAATTATTACTTTTTTTTTGGCCTTGGTGAAAAAAAGTCCAAGTTTTGGAGCTCATCCATAGCCTCTATTCCTGCCACCATAGACACTTGTTTCATAATCTCATTGGATAATTGCCAGGGTGACCAAGGAAAGAGACTAACTGACATTCAGAATAGGTCACCTTGTCCACCTGATTAAAGATCATGTGCCACAGTAGATTTCTTCAGGTGGACAGTTATACGGCTCATAAATATAATCATACTATGTGCCTATTCTGAGAGATCCATCGAA
Source organism: Homo sapiens (assembly GCF_000001405.40). Classification (NCBI taxonomy): domain Eukaryota; kingdom Metazoa; phylum Chordata; class Mammalia; order Primates; family Hominidae; genus Homo; species Homo sapiens. The sequence goes on from NC_000024.10 coordinate 3,976,528, forward strand.
TACCTCACCCTCTTGTCATTGCTCTTCAAATCTTATCCTTTTTAGTCCCTGATTAACCTGATTAGCAAATCATTGGTCACTGCCTATAAATCACTGTAGATCCATATCTGAGATAATCTTTCCCTCCATGCAAACTACGTATCTAATTTCTGCTCACTGAGAGAATTTCCCTTCAATACTATCTTTCGAGACCACATCTTAATAGGACCATAGTGCAGTGGCCATCAGTGGGGCTGGTTTGTCATGAAAATCTACCTATCAACTAGAACTTTACTCTTTTGTTCTTTCATTATTTGGTAAAAGGGAATCTCCCCACAAGGTAGTTGGTATGAGCCATGGGTCAGGTAGCAAAGTAACAGGGGTAGGTACTCTAAGAGTCTGAGCCTCCTACCTGGTTTACTTGTGCATTCAGACCTGCACTAACAAGGTCTCATATATACCATATCAATTGTGTAAAGTTATGCTACTGTACATATCCAATTGTATGGTTTTTAAATCAGGTAAGTCAAAGTCCAGAATGGTCAAAGAGTCACTTACTGTCCAATTTATTTCTGTTTAAGGAGATTGTCTTTGGGGGGGGGGGTCCTCAAATATGTGAGCAAACCAATCCCAGAATCTCATTTTGAGAATCTGTTTTATGGGACCACTTTTGGGGTAAATTACTGTATCGGTAAGGATCTCAGAAATCTGACATTACACTTAAACTAGTTTCTCAGAAATTTAATATTAAAACTAATTTCAAAAATGTGAATACAGTTTGGAGAAACCAAGATGGAAGTGATTACCACCATTAAGAATGAAAAGGTAAGTCAAAGAGCATTTACAGAATTAAAAATTTTAAAAAGCCAAAAAACAAAAACAAACTAATGAGAGGTGCGCGAGAGTGAGAGAGAGAGAGAGACTGCTAGGATTTGTGGTCTCTGATAGAGGAACAAAACTATCTGCCATAAAGCAATGGAGAAGAAAGCAGAGGAATAAGTAACTCTTTTTTCTCCCACCTTCTGATTTTTTTTGTCAGAGCCTTCCATTCATCAAACTCCACTAGAAGCCGGAAGGATGGGAGGTCCACTAAAGTAGTCCATACAGTTAAGCCTTCAAAAATGTGCAGCAAAATAAAGAAGGATACATTGTAGAACTGGAGATTTGATTTAAGTATTGTGTGTGTGTGTATATATCTATATATATGTTATGTTATATATGTATTGTATAGCATCATATATATTTTATTATATGTACCATATATTTTATGTATTCTTTTGAATATATATTTAAATAAATAATATATACTTATATTTATAAAACCAAAATTTTCCCCATCGTTCATTTTCTAAAATGATCTTGGCTGTCATTACCTGTTTTTCTTTAAGATGAGCTGTAGAATAATTTGCCATCTTTCAGAAATAAGAAAAATCAAATTTTATTTTTAACTGGTATTACATACACTTTTAGATCAATTCAGAGAAAACTGATATTTTTGTATTATTTAAAACTCCTTTTCAAAGCAAATAGTTTATCTCTAGTCAAATTATTTATGTCTTTCAGTAGAGTTTTAGAGCTTCATATAGGAATTTTGTCTTTTGTGTTAAGTTTATTCCTCAGTGTTTTCTGTGGTTTTGCTATAAAAAATAATAAATTTTCTTCCATTATATTTTATATTTCTTATTATTTGTATATAGGTTGCATATTATAGAACATAATATTTATTATTTTGTACATTAATTCTATGATGAGCAAAGACTATGGAATAATGATAATCTCGAATTGTTTTTTAGTTGATTCTTTAGTTTTTCAGGAATATAATAATTTCCTCTGCAAGTACTGGTAATATTGCCCTCTTCTCACCAATATTTATATCTCTCATATAATTTCCTAGCTATACTGAAACAGCGAGCATATCCAGTAAAAAGTTAAATAGTAGCAAAAATAGCTTGCTGTTTGTATTATTCTTAACTTCAATAAGGTTGAGCATAACATTTCACTTTTAATCATGATTTAAGATATATATCTTGAATCATGTGTTTTGAGATACACATCTTTACTCTTCAGGCTGAGCACAGTGGCTTACACTTATAATACCAATGCTTTTGGAAGTCAAGGTGGGAAGATCGCTTCAGGCTTGGAGTTCAAGCCCAGCCTGAGCATTATAGCAAGACCCCATTTCTACAAAAACATTACTAAAAAATTAGCTCGGTGAGGTGGTGCATGCCTGCAGTCCTAGCTACTCAGGAGTCAGAGTTAGATCAGGAGTTTGAGGCTGCAGTGAACTATAATTATAACACTATACTTCAGCCTGGGTGACAGAGCAAGACCCTCTCTCTAAAAATATTTTTTAAATATATCTTAATTCTTATTTCATATAACCTTCCATTCTCACAATTAGAGATGGTTGTTGGATTTTACCAAATAACATTTATATTTCTGAAGGTATGTAGAAGACATTTTAAATCTACCTTATTAAATAAAACAAATTATATAGAAGTAAATTTCTAAAAAAATTGAATTTTCTAACATGATATAAATCACCCCTACTTTCTATGCTTTATTATATTATTCTTTATCATACTGGTGAACTTTACTAACTTTTTTAAATTTATATCATAAGTATTAGTATGTAAAGTTGATCTCTCATTTTCTTTTTTATAATCTTCACCAGATTTTGGTAATTTAAATTCATAATTTAATCCATATCAATTTAATATAGTTGAACTTTGTGGAGGATTTTTGCATCTATGTTCATGAGAGATATTGGCCTATAGGGTTTTTGTTTCATGCTTTCCTTGCCAAGTTTTGGAATCAGTATGATGCTGGCTTTGTAGAATGAGTTAGAAAGGAGTCCCTCCTCCATCTATTGGAATAGTTTTATTATGATTCATACCAGCTCTTCTTTGTACATCTGGTAGAATTTGACTGTGAATCCATTTGGTCTGGGGCTTGTTTTAATTGGTGTGTTTTTTATTACTGATGTAATTTTGGAATTTGATATTGATCTGTTTGGGATTTTAATTTCTTCTTGATTAAATCTTGGGAGATTGTTTCCAGAAACTTATCAGTTTTCTCTGGATTTTCAAGATAATGGGCATAGAAGTGTTCATAATTATCTCTGAGGATCTTTTCTATTTCTGTGAAATCAGTCACAATGTCACATTTTTTGTTCCCGATTGTAGTTATTTGGATCTTCTCTTTTTTTCTTTATTAATCTAGCTAGTACTGTATCAATCTTGTTTATTCATTCAAGAAACTAATTTTGTTTTGTTTTTGTTGATTCTTTATATGAATTTTTGGGTCTTAATTTCATTGAGTTTTACTCTGATTTTACTTATTTATTTTCTTTTGTAAGCTTTGGAGTTAGTTTGTTCTTGTTTTTCTAATTCCTCTAAGTGTGACGTTACATCATTAATTTTTAATCTTTCTATCTATCCTAAATCTCCAGTTTCTGAGAAAAGATTATCCCAAATTTATAAAATAAATCATGAAGTGTATAGAATGAGGAAATAGTCCCTTATTTTTTTCTGTAAGACCAGTATAATTTTGATATTCAATGAAGAAAGATGGCACAAGGGAAAGAAAATTGTTATTCAATGTAAATTTACCTCATGAACATAGATACAATAATTACAAAAAATGCAAAAAACCAATTACATAAATACAAACAAACACATATATATGTATGTATATGTTTGTATGAATGTATGTCATAGTCAAATTAGCACTAAGAACCCAAAGGTAACTTAGCATTATAAAAACTTTAAATGTTATTGCTAACAGATTGCAGGAGAAATCTCACAGAATTACCTAAATAGTTTTTTTAAATGCATTGGCTAAATTTAATATTAATTCATGTGAAAATCTTTTGGAAATTTATGAATATAATAAAACATTTAAACCAGACAATATGTTGCCTAATCAAAATGTATAATAAGCATGACTATTAAAGGTGAGATCCTATTTACATCAAGAGAATAATGTGCATATCACTGCATTTACTGAATATCATACTGGTTGTTATGGTCAATCTGGTAATTTTTTTAATGCAATGCATATACAAAAAATATAAAAACTTTCATAATTCACACATGATATTAATGTCTATATTTAGAAAGTACTTCATTATTAAATTATTAGAAATGTTGAGAGTTTGGAAAGTAGGCCAGAAATGGGATCAAACTGCATAACAAAACAAAACCCCTCTAAATGTCTATATAATAATAAGAAAGTTTTAGAAAAATAGAAATTTACAAATATATCATTTAAAACAGAGTCTTCTAAGTTTTTCCCACAAGACGGTGGATTAGAGGCATTTAGCATGCCTCGGCTGCTTGGAAATAGCAAGATAGTGCATAAAGATCAACTCTGTGAGCTTCAATTCAAAAAGGAAAATGTGAATCCACCAGAGTCATGAAGGACACCCCAGATCAGGAGAGCAGAGGACACTGGCAAACAGCCACTATGATGGCATCTGGCTGATAAAATTTAGTGCAACCACAGTATGTGAGAGAGGAAGAGAGTCTTTCTCTGTGACTCACATTTACACTGGAGATCTGAGGCAACCCAAGCCGAGGCAGAGCATTTTTTTTTTCTCCCAAGACGAGAGCTAACCTGAGAAGAAGCTTGGAGATGCTGTGAGGAAAAGACATGAATAAAAGCTGCAGGCGTTTTCCCAGACCTGGGACTGAGAACAGAACACCATTTTTAATCTGGGTGCAACAAAGTCAGCCATTCTTTGGTGATCCGGCAGTGTGGCCATGCAAACATTTCAGTCTCAGGCTGGAAATTTGAGTGCTCGTTTTGGAGATGGGTAAGGACATTCACAGCTAGAACTGTGGAAAGTGCCTCAGCAGTAAGCAATGGAATTTTGCTCTCCCCCATCTCAAACCTGCAGCAGGAGGAGAGCTGCTATAGCTGCAATTTCTCCTGGGCTGTGAACCTTGCAGCCAAAGCCACCTTGATGACCTAGAACCAATCTATGTGTCCCATAACTGTGTGCCCCAGACTGCTCCCCTGAGATCTTGGTGCAGCGGGCCCCTCTCTGCTCCACTCCCAGGCAGAAATCCAGGCATTTGGAGGATTCACTTCTCTGCAACTGCAGCCTGAGTTGCCCTATCCTACATTGACATAGATCACAGTACAGTGGGGCCCTCTCTGCTCTATGGCCACGGAGGTATCTAGGCATTTGGAGAACACACTCACTTGGATCTACAGCCTGACCTGACCTACAATTTCTGTGCTGAGATCTTTGTGCAAGAAGTCCTTATCTGCTTCAGGCCCAAAAGTATCTCCAGGAATTTTGAGCAATCCCTCATCTAGATCAGCAGACTGAGCCACCTGACCCTTCTAGGACATAGATTGTGGTGCAGTGACACCCTCTCTGCCCCATGCCTGGGCAAATCTCCAAGCATTTGGAACACCAACTTGCCTGGATTAGTGGCCAGAGCCACCTCACCCTTCCTGTTCAGAGATCCTCATGCCAGGGGGGCCTTCTCTGCTACATGCCCAGGCAGATCCCCAGGCATTTGGTGTGCTTACTCCTGGATTAGGAGTTTATTCCACTCCTGATTCCTATGCAAAGAATTTGAGGCTGAGGAAATTCCCCAGTTCCAGGCTTAGGCACACCTCTGAGTGTTTGGTGGTCATCCAGCGAATGCTTTCTCAGTGCAGTTGCTTGTGCCTGCCATGAGGGGACCTGTAGATAGACCCTGACCATTGTAACCTCAGAACCCTGGGGTTAAGCAGGGAGGTCAGACTCCTGGGCATTTTGCAAAATAGCCCATTGCCTAGGCAACAGACAGTAAACAAGGATCAAGTGTATACCCAGCTGCATGGGTCACAGGCAGCTCTTACCTGTAAGTTTTTACCTACTGGATTGTACGTTGAACTGCACAGCCCAACATAAAACCTGCTGAAAGAAGAGCATAGGGCTGTAGGAGCAAAACCAACAAACCCTATCCAGCATTCCTTACAGTCACACACACTAGGGAGGGGAGCAATAGGAAAAAGAAGGAAAGAAAAGAAACCAATAATATTTAGAGAAAGAAATAAAAAGAAAAAAATCCTACCTGAATAAAAGTAACTATAGAAATTAGAAACGCCAGCATCTCCAGATGAGAAGTAACCAGAGCAAACATTTTGGTACCATAAAAAATCAGAATGTAATGACACCACCAAAGGATCACACTAGCTCTCTAGCAATAATCAGTAAATAAAAGGAAAGCTTGGAAATGGCGGATAAAGAATTCAAAGCATAGATTGCGAGGAAACTCAATGAGATCCAAGACAATGTTGAAAATCAACACAAAAAAGCTTCTAAAGCAATCTGGAAACTGAAGGAAGAGAAAAACATTCAAAAAGATTTCGGGATAATCTTTTCTCAGAAACTGGAGATTTACTTGTAAAGTCATATTTGCACAGTGCTGTATTCACATTATGTAAATATATTTTTTTTATTATACTTCAAGTACTGGAATACATGTGCAGCAAATATTTTTAACTGATTATCTCTAACAGACTATTCCAGGTTTTTAATTGATTTCATCATTATTTAATACATATTTTATAAGTATATTTTTCTTCAGGAAGTTTTTAAATCTTAAAAAGAGGGGAGATCATGCAGTGTTTCTCTTTCTGTGTCTTGTTTATTTCACTTAGTAGAGAGTCCTCCAGCTCTTTCTATGCTGTAATAAATGGCAGGATTTTCTTTTTTATAAAGGCTGAATAGTGTGTGTGTGTGTGTGTGCACGCACGTGTGTGTGTGTGTTCATTTGTTGAAGGACATTTAGGCTGTTTTCATATTTTGGCTATTGTGAATAATGCTGCAATTAAAAGGGGAGTTCAGGGCTCTCTTCATGATTCTGTTTTCCATTATTTGAGTACATACCCAGAATTGGTATTGCTGGATAAAGTGGTATTTCTATTTTTAGTTTTTTGAGGAACTACTGTGCTGTTTTTCATTTGGGCTGTATCAATTAGCAGTTTTAAGCTTTACCTTTATGCCTGTCATGTATTTTGAGTTTATTTTTGTGTATGGTGTGAGATAATATACAAGAGCTTCTTTTCTTCACATCCTTGCCAACACTTATCTTTTTTTTTTAATAGTCACTCTTATAACAGGTGTGAGATGATATCTCATTGTGGTTTTGATTTGCATTTCCCTGATGATTAGATGAACACCTTTTCATATGCATGTTGGCCATGTGAATTTCTGTTTTGTGGATTTTTGTTCATTTATTAATTGGATTATTTGTATTCTTGGTATTGAATTGCAAGTGTACCTTACATATTTTGGATATTAATCCCTTATCAGATATATAATTTGCAATTTTTTTCTCAATCTGTAAGTTGCCTTTTCATTTTGTTGATGGTTTCCATTGTTGCAAAGATGCTGTTTAGTTTGGTATAATCCCACTTGTCTGTTTGTGTTTTTGTTGCCTGTGTTTTGGTATAATATCCAAAATATTATTGCTAAAAAAAAATGTCAGGAAGGGCTTTTTCCAAGGTTTTTTTGCTAGGATTTGTATGGTTTCAAGTTTTATGTTTAAGTCTTTAATCTATTTAGAGTTTGTTTTTATGTATGTTGTGTAATAGGGGTTCAGTTTCATTGTTTTGTGTATGGATATCTGATTTTCCTAGCACTGTTTGCTAAAAAGACTATCCTTTCTCCATTGTGTGTTCTTAGCACCCTGATGGGAGAACAGTTGGTTCTAAATATGTGGGTTTATTTCAGCATTCTCTCTTTTCTTCTATTGATCTATATATCTGTTTATATGTCAGTACCACATCGTTTTCTTTACTACAGCATTGTAATATAATATGAAGTCAAAAAGCATGATATCTCCTGCTCTGTTTTTGCTCAAGATTGCTTTAGCTATTCAGGGATTTTGTGGTTCTGTTAGAATTTTAGAATTATTTTCTATTTTTGAAAAATATGCCTTTGGAATTCTGATAGAAATTGCATTGAGTGTGTAGATTGCCTTGGTTTATATGGACATTATGACAGTATTAATACTTCCAATATATTAACATGGAATGCATTTTTACTTATTTCTGTCTTTTAAAAGTTTCCTCATTTATGTTTTATAATATTGAGTGTATAGGTCTTTACCTCTTTAGTTAATTCTTAAGTATCTTAATTTTTTGTTATTTTTATTGTTAATGCAAATAGGATAGGTTTCTTATTTCCCTTTTGGATAGTTTGTTGTTGGTGTATAGAATTGCAACTGATTATTGTATTTTGATTTTGTATTCCATAATTGTGTTGATTTCTTTTATTAGTTATAACAGGTTTCCATGGAGTCTTCAGTGTTTTCTACTTATACAGTCATATCATCTGCAAACAAAGATATTTTTACATCCAATCTTTTGCTGTAGATGTTTTTGTTTCTTTTTCCTGCCTGATTGCTCTGGTTAGAACTCCTAATACGATGTTAAATAACAGGGATAAGAGCGGACACCTTTGCCATGTACTGAATCTTAGAAGAAACTATTTCATTTTTTCTCCATGAATTTTGATGTTAACTGTGGGTTTTTCACATATGGCCTTTATTGTGTTGTGGTATATTTCTTTTATACCTATAGTGTTGACTTTTTTTTTTGTCATGAAGGGATGTTACATTTTGTTTAATGCCTTTTGTTAATCTTTTGAGATAATTATGAGGTTTTTGCCTTTTGTTCTACTAATGTCATATATTGAATTGGTTAATGTTTGTATGTTGAAACATCCTTTAATTCTAGGAATAAATCCCTTTTAGTTACAGTATATGATCCCTTTAATGTGCTGCAGAATTTGGTTTGAAAGTATTTTACTTAGGATAAACACATCTATGTTCATCAGAAATATTGTTCTGTAGTTTTATTTTCTGATATCATCCTTGTCTGGCTTTGGAATCAGAGTGATGCAGTCCTCATGAAGTGAGTTTTCAGTGTTCCCTCTTTTATTTTTAGGGGAGAGCTTAAAATAATTCATGTTCATTCTTTCTTAAATGTTTGGTGGAATTCCTTTTTAAAGCCATATAGTGCTGGCTTTTTTTTGTTAGAAAATGTTTGATTACATATTCTATCTCTTTGTTATTAATTTGTTCAAGCTTTCTACATCTTTTTTGTTCTATCTGGATAGATTATGTGTTTATAGAAATGTATCTATTCAGGTAATCCAGTAGATAACCAAATATATATCTATATATCCATAACTACATTTATATCTATAATTGTCTATGCATGGCTATATATGTCTACATACATCTCTCTTTATATATATATATATAGTCTGTGTGTATATGTGTAAATACATATATATATGCCTCTATATGTCTCTATATGGCTTTTATACAAACATACACATTTTCTCTCTATATAGATAGGCATAGGTAGGTATACCTATATAAGGATTTATAGATAGAATTCATTCATGTGTGTATGTATATGTATATAATGTTTACACACATACACACATATATATTTACATCTTAAATAGGTCATATTTGTTAATTATATTGTTCAGATCTTCTATCTTATTACTAATGTTCTTATGCTAGATTATTCTGTCAGCAATTGAGTTATGATGAAGTCTCTCATTCTGATTCTGACTTTCTTTTGAAGTCTTAAAATTTATTTTGAAAAGATTTTTATTTGCATATATATTTAATTATAATATATTCCTCATCAATTGACTCATTTAATATCATGTAACAGCTTTCTTTTTTCTAGTGAAACTCTTTGCTTTAAACCCATTTGTCTAATATTATAGGTCTATTCATTTTGTTTTAGTGTTTGCATGATAAATACTTTCCATTGCCTAATTTTGAAATTTCTGTATTCATATATTTACGACATGTCTCTTTTTTAAAGAGTCCATTAGAAAGTTTCTAAAACCCAGACTGGATTTTACACACACACCTGTACACACACACACACACACACACACATATCCACCAACACAGTCAAGAATCAGAACACTTACTGCAGGATCCCTCATGTTGCCCTTTTTAATTACAGCCACTTTCCTGCTGCTCCTTACCCCCTATCTTGTTCTTAATGTCTGGCAGGCACTAACTTAATCTTCATTTCTATAAATCAGTTATTTTATGTTTAATGAATGGAATTAAACAATATGTGATTTTGGGGGATTGGTCTTTCTTCACTGAGTGTAATTCTGTGGAGATTAATCCAATGTGTTTCATGCATAATGAGTCTACTTTTTTATTGCTGAGCAGTATTCTATGGAACAAATGTAATATAATTTGCCTGTGTTACAGTGTACAAGGGTTTCCTTTTCTCCACATCTCTGCCAGCATTTGTTATTGCCTGTCTTTTGAATATATGCCATTTTAAATGAGATGAGATGATATCTCATTGCAGTTTTCATTTGCACTTCTCTGATGATCAGTGATGTTGAAAACCTTTTCATATGCCTGCTTTCCATTTGTATGTCTTCTTTTGAGAATAAATATTCAAATCTTTAACCCATTATTTTAATTTGGTTATTAGGTTTCTACCTATACAGTTGTTTGAGCTTCTTATATTTTCTGGTTATTAGTCCCTTATCAGATGGGTAGTTTGCAAATATTTTCTCCCATTCTGTGGGATTTTTTTCACTTTGTTGTTTTCTTTGCTGTGAAGAAGTATTTAACTTGAGGTGATCCTATTTGTTGTGCATTTTTGCTTTGGTTGCCTGTGCTTGTGGGATATTGCTCAAGAAATTTCCACCCAGACTAATGTCCTGGATATATTTCCCAATGTTTTCTTGTAGTAGATTTATAGTGTGAGGTAGCTTTTAGATTTAAGTCTTTAATGTCTTTTGATTTCATTTTTGTATGCTGTGACAGATAGGGGTCTAGTATCATCAGTCTATATATGGATATCCAGTTTCCACAGCACCGTTTATTGAAGAGACTGTCTTTCCCCAGTGTATGTTCTCAGCATCTTTGTCAAGAATGAGTTAACTATAGGTGTATGAATTTGTTTCTGGGTTCTCTAGTCTGTTCTACTGTTTGGCATGTCTGTTTTACACAAGTATCATGCTGTTTTGGTTACTATACCTCTGTAGTATTATTTGAAGTCAAGTAATGTGATTTCTCCAGTTTTGTTCTTTTGGCTTAGGATAGATTTGTCTATTCTGGGTCTTTTTTGGTTTCCTATAAATTTTAGGGTTTTTTAAAAATATACCTGTGCAGAATGATGTTGGTGTTTTGATATAGATTGCATTGAATCTGTAGATTGTTTTGGGTAGTAGTGACATTTTTAACAATATTGGTTATTCTAATCTATAGACATAGAATATATTTCCATTTTTTGGTGTCCTCTTACATTTCTTTTCTCAGTGAAAACCTTTTTTGTTATAGAGAACTTTCACTTTGGTGAAGTTAACTCCTAGGTATTTCATTTTATGTGTGGTATTGTAAATGGGATTATTATTTTTTAAAATTCTTTCTCAGATTTTCACTTTTGGCATATAGAAATGTTACTGATTTTTGAATGTTGATTTTGAATCCTACAAATTTATTGAATTTGATTACCAGTTGTAAGGTTTTTGATGGATTATTTAGGTGTTTCTAAATATAAGATTATATCATCAGAAAGAAACAATAATTTGACTTCTTCTTTTCCAATTTGAATGTTCTTTATTTCTTTCTCTTGTCTGATTGGTCTAGCTAGAACTTCGAGTACTATGTTGAAAAGCAGTGGTAAAAGTGGGTATCTTTGTTTGTTGAGTTCCAAATCATAGATAGAAGGTTTTCAGCTTTTCCCCATTCTGTGTGATACTAGCTGTAGATCTGTCTTACATGGCTTTTATAATGCTGAAGTATGTTCCTTCTATAACATGTGTTTTTCAGGGTTTGTATCATGAAGGGGTGTTGAGTTGTAACAAATGATTTTTCATTATCAATTGAAATAATCATATGTCTTTGATCAGCCTGTTGATATCATTTTTATCACATTGATTGATTTCCACATATTGAACCATCTTCACATCCCGAGGATAAATACCACTAGTTAATGATGAATAATCTTTTTATTATATTGTGGAATTCTGTCTGCTAGTACATTGTTGAGGATTTTTGCATCAATAGTGAACAGAGATATTGCCCTGTGGTTTTCTTTTTTAATGTATTGGTTTTTTGTTTGTTTGTTTTTGTAGAAGGGTAATACTGGCCTCATCGAATGAGTTTGCAAGGATTCACTCCTCCTCTATTTTTTTGGAAGACTTTGAGTAGGATTGGTATTTGTTGTTCTTTAAATGTCTGATGGAATTCAGTTGTGAAGCCATTAGGTCCCAGGCTTTACTTTACTAGGAAACTTTTTATTATGGCTATGATCCCATTACTTGTTATTTATTGGTTCAAGTTTTGGATTTCTTCCTGGTTCAATTTTGATAGGTTGTATGTGTTTAGGAATTTTTCCATTTCATCTATATTTTCCAATTTATTGGCACTTCGTTGCTCATAGCAGCCACTAATGATGCTTTGAGTTTCTGCAGCATCAGTTGTAATGTCTCCTTTTTTCAATTCTGATTTTGTTTATTTTGATCTTCTCTGCTTTATTCTCAGTCTGTCTAAAGGCTTGTAAATTATATTTAACTTTTCAAAAAACCAACTTTTTGTTTCACTCATCTTTTCTACTGTTTTCATCCTTTTCATTTATTTCTGCTCTAATCCTTATTATTTCTTTTCTTCTCTTCTTACTTTTTTGGTCCTTTATGATGCATCATTAGATTGTTTATTTGACTTTTTTTTTTCATTTTTGATGTAGGCACTTGTAGCTATAAACTTACCTCTGAGTACTACTTTTGCTGTATTCCATAGGTTTTGGTATGTTGTATTTGCATTATTATTCATTTCAAGAAATTATTCCATTTTCTTCTTAATTTCTTCATCAACCCACTGGCCCTTCAGGAGCATATTATTTAATTTCCATGTATTTGTATAGTTTCCAAAATTCCTCTTGTTATTGAGTTCTTGTTTTTTCTGTTGTTGTCACAGAAATACTTGATATTCTTTTTTTGTTGGTGTTTTAAGACTTGTTTTGTAACCTAACATATGGTTTATTCTTGAGAATGGTCCATGTGCTGAGTAAAATAATATGTTTTCAGCAGCTTTTTGATTAAATATTCTGTAAATATCTATTAGGTCCATTTGCTCCATAGTGCAGACTGAGTCTGATGTTTCTTTATTGATTTTCTGTGTGAAAGATCTGTCTAATACTGAAAGTAGGATGTTGAAGTCTCTAGCTATTATTGTATTGGGGCTTCTCTCTCTCTTTAGCGCTAATATAATTTTCTTTATATAGTGGGTGTTCCAATGTTGGGTACATATATATTTTAAATTGTTATATCATCTTGTTGAATTGATTCCTTTATTATTATATAATGACCTTGTCTCTTTTTATAATTTCTGTCTTGAAATCCATTTTGTCTGATGTAAGTATAGCAACTCCTGCTGTTTTGTGGTTTTCACTGGATTGGAAGGTTTTTCTATCTTTTTATTTTTAGCCTATGCATGTTTTTATATGGGAAGTGTGTTTCTTGTAGGCAACAGATCAATGGGTCTTGTTCTTTCATCCATTCAGCTACTCTATGACTTTTGTTAGGATAGTTTAGTCCATTTCCATTCAGTTATTATTAACAAGTAAAGACTTCAGCCTTGTTGTTATTTGTTTTCTTGTTGTTTTATGTAATTTTTTATACCTTCCTTACTTTTTTCCTATATTACATTCGTGAAGATAATCATCTCAATATGATTTAGTTTCCTGCTATTAATTGTCCGTGTATCCATTGTATGTTTTCTGGTTTGTGGTTACCATGAAGCTCGCAAATGCTATCTTAAAACTCATTATTTTGAGCTGATAACAACTTAACACAATTTGCTTAAACAAACGAGTATAAAAAACTAAATAAACTCAATGACTGAAATTCATCTCCTTGCTTTTTAACTTTTTATTTATTATTTATATTTCACTGCACTGTCTATGTCTTGAAAAGTTGTCGTAGTTATTATTTTTGATTGGTTCATCCTTTAATCTTTTTACTTAGAATAAGAGTGGTTTTCATACCATATTTACAATGTTAGAATATTCTGTGTTTTTTTCATGTACTTAATATTACCTGTGATTTTTGTACCTTCAGGTGATTATGTTTTGCTCATTAACATTCTTTTCTTTCTGATTAATGTACTGCCATTAGCATTTCTTGTAGGACAGGTCTGGTGATAATGAAATACCTCAGCTTTGATTTTTCTGGGAAAGTCTTCATTTCTCCTTCATGTTCGAATGCTATTTCCTCAATATATATTATTCTAGGGTAAAAGTTTTCCTTTTTCTTCAGCATTTTAAATATATCATGCCACACTCTCCTGGCACTCTCTCCTGGTGAGGTAAGTTTTCCACTGAAAAGTCTGCTGCCAGTCATTTTGGAGTTTTATTGTGTGTTATTTATTTATTTTTTTCTTACTGCTTTTAGGATCCCTTCTTCATCCTTGACCTTTGAGAGTTTGATTATTAAATGCCTTGAGGTAGTATTCTTTGGGTTAAATCTGCTTGGTGTTCAACAACCTTCTTGTACTTGGATATTGATATCTTCCCCTAGGCTTGGGAGTTCTCTGTTATTATCCCTTTGAATAAACCACTATTCTTTCTCTCCCTCCTCTTTAAGGCCAACTACTCTTAGATGTTTTTGAGGCCATTTTCTAGATTCTGTAGGCATGCTTTGTTGTTTTTTTTTTCTTTTGTCTCCTATGACTGTGTATTTTCAAGTAGCCTGTCTCTAAGCTCATTAATTTTTTCTTCTGCTTGATCAATTCTGCTCTTAAAAGACGATGAATTTTTCAGTATGCCAGTTGCATGTTTTTAGCTCCAGAATTTCTGCTTTATTCTATTTACTTATTTCAATCTCTTTGTTAATTTATCTGAGAGGATTCTGAATTCCTTGTCTGTGTTATCTTGAATTACTTTGAATTTCCTCAAATCAATTATTTTAAGCTTTTTTGTCTGAAAAGTCATATATCTCTATTTCTCCAGCATTGGTTCTTGACACCTTATTTAGTTCATTTGGTGAGGTCATGTTTTCCTGGATCATCTTGATATTTGTGGATGTTTGTCTGTGTCTGGGTGTTGAAGAGTTAGGTATTTATTGCAGTCCTCACTGTCTTCATTTGTTTGTACCTGTCCTTGGAAGGGTTTTCCAGATATTCAAAAGGATGTGTGTTTTCATAACACCATATATGCTTTTGGGAATGCCTCAAGCCCAGTAATGTTATTGTTTTTGCAGACTCCTAGAGGTACCACCTCAATCATCTTGTAAAAGATCCAGAGAAATTCTCTCGATTACCAGGCAGAGACTCTTGTTCTCTTCTCTTACTTTTTCACAAAGAAATTGAGTATCTTATGCTGTTTTGAGCCACCTAAATCTGGGAGTGAAGTAACACAAGTACCCCTGTGGCCACCATCACTAGGACTGTACTGAGTCAGACATGAAGCCAGCATAACACTAGGTCTTCCCCAAGACCTGCTGTAACCACTTTCCTGGCTACTAACTATGTTAGCTTAAGGCCTGTTTACTAAAGGCCTTGACAATCAGCATGTGGCAAAGCCAGCCAGGCCTGTGTCCTTTCACTCATGGCAGTGAGTTACCCCAGCACCTAATGGGACCAGAGGTTCTTTCCAGAAGTGAGGGATTAGAGTAAAAACTTAGACGTCTACCTGGTATTCTATTGTATTGCTGCTGACCTGGCACTCACACCACAAGATGGGGTCTTTCTTATTCTTCCTTCCTCTTTCCAAAGGCAGAGCAGTCACATCTCATGGCCAACACCACTACAAGCCCATGGGGAGTACTGCCAGACTACTGCTGATGTTTCCGTAAGGCCCAAGGTCTCTTAAGTCAGCTTGTGATGAATGCTGTCTGGCCTGGGACTCACTGTTCAGAGCAGTGAGCTCCCCTCTTTCCCAGAGCATGTCCAGAAATGTTATCCAAGAATCATGTTCTGGAATTGGAAACCCCAAGATTCTACTTGGTGCTCTCCCACACTATGGCTGAGCTGGTACCTTGTGTCAGCAAGTCTCAGAGTTTCACTTGAGGCCTTCATTGTAGTACGTGGATATCACTCTTGGTTATTCAGAGCTCAAGGGCTCTTCAGTAAGCAGGTAATAAATGGTTCCAAGACTAGGTCTTTTTCTTCAAGGCAGTAGGTTTGCTTGTGGCCTAGGCTGTGTCTAGAAATGTCTGGGATCCAGCGCCTGGAATGGGGGGCCTCAAAACTGTGATCAGTACCCTATTCTGCTGTGGCTGAGCTCATATCTAAGATGCAAGACAAAGTCCTCCCCACTATTTTCTCTACTCTCCTCAGTTGAAAAGAAAAGGCATCTCTTGGAGCCACAAGTTGTGCAGCCTGGGGCTAGGTGTGGAGTGATGCCAGCACTCCCACATCCATGTTAGCTGGTGTCTCAGTAGATCATGTCACCCCCAGCTCATTGTCTCTGGGCCCAGTTCAGCCCTGGGACTCACCTAAGAGTTACAGTCCTTATGGTCTAGACTGTCTTTCAAGTTTACTTAGAGACACAGAGCACAGCCTGGGGCTGTGAGGTTTGCAGGAACTCAAGTTCCATCCCCTGGGATCCTGGGATCTACAATTCCCCTCTAGCAAGGACTGGTTTATATGCGCCCACTATGGTTTATATGCTGACACCATGGGTGAGTGTCAGCTGAGTTTGGCCTAATTTTCCTTTCTACTCCCACCACTAGTTTATATGCTGACACCATGGGTGAGTGCCATCTGAGTTTGGCCTAGTTTTCCTTTCTGCTCTAACAGGGCAGCACTGAGTTCAGTGCCTCACAGTTTGCTGTGTTCTCCATCCCCCCAGACACAGAAATGCTCTCTGCACCATGCTGCTGCCAGTGGGTGTGGCAGGGGTGGCATCAGCAATTCAATACTTTTTTTTCCTCCTCAGTGCATCATGTAACAATACAAAGTTAAAAGCAGGTACTGAGAGTGCTCACCTGTGGTGCTTTGCTCAAGTAAATAGTTATTAAATTGGTGTCTTTGCAGGAGGGTGTCGGGGGTGGATGATGGATGGAGCTTTATATTCTTTCATCTTGTTCTGCCTCTTTTATATGTAGTCTTTCAACTTCTCATACTTGTTATTTTCCCTCTGTATATGCTATCTTAACTAGCTACAGTGAACTTTTCTTGTAATCTTTCTCTAACGCTACTTATTCCATTTTCAACTAAATTTCATTTTTGTCTGAAAACCTTTGTAGATGACTTAGAGATTCTGTTTTCTACTATTTTATCTTATATTACCATGTATTTTTATCTTTATAACAATTACCTAGTTTCCTTGTCCACTTGTGTATTTATTATTTTTTGAGTGATAACTATTTTCCTTATCAGATTGTATGTTCCATGAAGAAATGGAATGTGTCTGCTTCTTACTAGTGCAGCCTCAATGACAGAAGATTGTGTGGCTCACAAAAAGTATGGGTGGGTGTACCAATGTGTGAATTTATGTGTATCTTTGTGGTATCACTAAAGGTCTTAAGGAAATCAGGATTTTCCCAGGTTTTTTAGTCTCACTAAGGATTTTATTTTTCTCTTAATCTAGCAGGCATTCTTCACTGATTAAATTCCATTTTCTTCTTTCTCCCCCTTCACACCATCCATCCCATTTCATAAGTAACTTAGAAAGCTTCACTTCAGATACAATGATAAATTATTAGATTATATTTCCTAGCATTGAAATTTTTGGAAAGCTCTTTATATTATAAACTATTTTCTGTTATGTGTTTTAGTCACAATTAAATCTAGCTGTGAATAAATTGAAAATATGTCCTCTCTTACCTATAAAAAGCAAAGCTGTAAAATGATTCAAGTATATACCCTTTAAAAAATGCATTTATCAAAACCAACACTTGTCTGTCAATAATAACCAATTTCTGTATTGTGTTTAAAATGTATCCCTCTATAGATTCAAAAAATATTTAAAATTTTGTTTCACCATAATTATTTATCAGATTGAATGCATATATGTTTTCAGAAAGCATGCAAGACTAAAAAGACATTTCTGGATTAGCTAGAAATGTAGTAGACTAACTGCTTTTTATTATTTTGATTTAGCATTTCTATGCTTCTCATTATTAACAGGTTTATGTTTGAGAAATATCAGAATATTATATGTAATGATTGACTCAATTATGGACCTTGATATAAATAATTTTGCCCTCTATAAGTAAATTAATATTTTCAATAAATATTAAAAGGGTGCTTTTTTAAAGAAAATATACATGAAATTGACACAGGGCCAGCCTTTAAGTGAGTTACAATTATAAATACAAACACCTCATTCTAGTATTCCATTATAAAGTTTAAATCAATAGCTTTAGTAGAGGTAATTAGAAAGGGAAGCAGGCTGGGCGTGGTGGCTTACACCTGTAATCCCAACACTTTGGGAGGCTGAGAAAGGCAGATCATGAGGTCAGGAGATCGAGACCATCCTGGCTAACACGGTGAAACTCTGTCTCTACTAAAAATACAAAAAAAAAAATTAGCCAGGTGTGGTTGTGGGCGCCTGTAGTCCCAGCTACTTGGGAGGCTAAGGCAGGAGAATGGCATGAACCTGGGAGGCGGAGCTTGCAGTGAGCTGAGATTGCGCCACTGCACTCCAGCCTGGGCAACAGACAACAGAATGAGACTCCATCTAAAAAAAAAAAAAAAGGAAAGCCAACAAACAAACACCAAACTTGTCATGGTGCTTCTTTAAAGGACAGAATCAGGCAGGACATGGTGGCTCATGCCTGTGATTGCAGCACTTTGGGAGGCCAAGGTGGGTGGATTACTTGAGGTCAGGAGTTCGAGACCAGCCTGACCAATGTGGTAAAACCCCGTCTCTAGGAAAAATACAAAAATTAGCCGGGTGTGGTGGCAGGCACCTGTAATCCCAGCTACTCAGGAGAAGGCTGAGGCACAAGAATCACTTGAGCCCGGGAGTCAGAGCTTGCAATGAGCCAAGATCATGCCACTGCACTCCAGCCTGGGCAACAGAGTGAGATTCTGTCTCAAAAATAACTAAATAAATAAATAGGAAAGAATCAAGTCCCCATTTTAGTAAAGATCGCCCTCTCTTGGACCAAGTCTACTTCAAATAGCAACCCTCCAAGTCTGCATAAGATTTATGTCTAGGCCAGGTGCAGTGGCTCATGCCTATAATGCCAGCACACTGGGAGGCCAAAGTGGAAAGATCACTTGAGTTCAGGAGTTGAAAACCTGCCTGGGCAACATAACAAGATCTCATCCCTACTAAAAGTCAAAAAAAGAAAATCAGCTGGACATGGTGGCATGCACCTGTAGTCCCAGCTAGTTGGGAGGCTGAGAAGGGGAAATTGTTTGAGTCCAGGAGATCAAGGCTGCAGTGAGCTCTGATTCAGCCACTGCAATTCAGGCTGGGCAACAGAGTAAGATCCTGTCTCAAAAAAAAGAGAAGATTTCTACGTTAGACATTGTTGCCTACAAACCATTGCACCCAGAATCGGAGCAAAGGGTAGTAATTTCAGTTACCAAAGAAACTTAAAACCAGGGAGAGAAAACTGGATTAGCCAATGTTAGTAGAATGTTCCTAAATACACATTCTATATGCATTTTGTACTATTCTAATTTAGCAATTTCTTAAATGACAAGTGTCAATAATTTATTTTTCACAGCCCTACCACAGTGATCATACAAATTTCTTTCTATGCTCTTCCTGTTATCACAACATAATATTAAACCCCCGTAGGTACTAAAACAAAGACTTACTTTTTAAAATGTATTTTAAATTGCTTAATATTTCTATTTTAATAACTTTAGGAGTATAAGTGGTTTTTATTAACATGGATAAATTGTACAATGGTGAAGTCTGGGCTTTTAGTATACCCATCACCCAAATAATGTACGTTATACACAATAAGTAATTTCTCATTCCTCACTCCCTCTCCCATTTCTTCCCTTTTTGAGTCTCCAATGTCCATTATACCACTCTGTATACCTTTGGATAACCATAGCTTAGCTATAACTTATAAGTGAGAACATGCAGTATTTGATTTTCTGTTTGTGAGTTACTTTGTTACTGGCAGTAAATCCATATGGGTCTTCAGCTACCTCAATTCTTCACTCCTCAGAAAAGAGAATTTGACTGGCATAAGGCAGAAGAGAACAAGGCCAAGTGTAGAGCAGAAATAAAACTTTATTAAAAAGCTCTGTAGCAGAAACAAAAGGAAGAAAACTACATTTGGAAGTAGACCAAGTGGGTTACTTGAAAGACAAGTGTGCAGTTTGAACTTTTGACTTGGGGTTTATATGTTGGCATACTTCTGGGTCTTGTGTCTCTTCTACCCTGATATTTTCTTAGGGGTGGACTCTCTGCATGCACAGTGGCCAGCCAGCACTGGGGAGGTGAGAATATGAAGAGTGTTTACTGGAGTTGTGCACATGCTAACTTGAGGTGCTCTTCCCTTACCAGCCAAATGTCACTAGGAGGTGTGAACCCTGAATATCTGAGACAGATCTCAGTAAATTGAAAAAGTTTATTTTGCCAAGGTTGAGGATGCACTTCCATGACACAGCCTCAAGAGGTCCTAATGACATGTGCCCAAGGTGGTTGGAGCACAGCTGGATTTTATACATTTTAGAAAGACATGAGACATCAATAAATATATGTAAGATGTACATTGGTCCCTCCAGAAATGTGGGACAACTTGAAACCTATGAGAACATGACCTTCTTTACTTACCACAGTCAGAAATCCTGTACAGAGACTGTGGAGAAAAGGTATGAGGCCAGTTTTTCCAAAAGGCTTTTATTGGCTCTATAAGTCAAGTTTGATTCCTTAAAGGAAATCATATGAGTCTAGTCAAAGTCTTGATAAAATAACCAGTTTATCCAATTGTGTCCTGTTGCAAAATAAAACATTCTTAGTGCACTTATGCAAATAACTATTTGCCATACACTAAGAACACTCACAAATAGTTTTCAAATCCTGGAGAAATGAGGTAGAGAGAAACAAATATGCTTCCAATTTTGTTGATAGGAGTATAGTTTCTCAATTGCTACAACCCGTAAATAGCTCAAAAAAAACTTGTCTTGACTGTGAAAAGCAATAAAAGGGTCAACATTGTTTTCAGTAAAAAAGTCAAAAAATTACTTTAGTCTTCTATTAGTTTAGTCAACGCAGTTAACTTCTGTTCTGCATGATATTCGTAAACATTCCAGCTGTGTATGAGAGTACTGAAAGTTTTTTCTCTATTCTAATGTCACAATCACCAAAGTTATCAGAACCCTACATTCAAGAATACCTGTTAGTTTTATAGCTGATTATAAAACCACCTTCTAAAGAGAACAAAAACAAAACAACATTTGTTTGTGGATGACAAAAAGCTTTAGGGTAGCTATAGTCAAAGATACAATTAAGGAGGAAATTTGTTATCTCTCTGGCAAACAAAATTTAACATAGCAATTATAATTATTTCTGATAATGTACACTAAGTCATATTATAATTATAGGAGCTTCCCAAATGTTGGAACACATACCAATAACATATTTACACAAATACAGCCCAGAAAAGACTAAACATCATTTCATATTTTACAGTGCTTCCTGTATGATTTTTATACCAAACAAGCCAAATATGTCATTTTAAAACTTTAGGGAAAGTAATATCTTAAAGGAATAGTTAGGTCAGAAAAAAAAAAAAACACAGTTTACAAATTCATTTTGGAAAATTTGTCAAATATCAAAGATTTAAAACACTTGTTATCACAAAATAGGATCCCAGGTCATTGTAAAATAAGTCATCCCTTTAACAAAAGTAATAACTCAAGGATTTCAAAAAAAGGCAAAACTTCATTCTTTAAGAGAAGATACTTAATTTTCCAAACAATAAGCCCTAATAAAGCAGCATAAAGCCAATTAAACTTGTTTGTCAAAATTTTATAAACAATCTTTAAATTCTAATCACCTTGACCATAAAAGATATAATTTCCACAATCCTTTCATAACCTTTATTAAAAAGTTGGTTAATGCTTCAAGAAAAGCTTGTTAATCTGACATAAAGGCCAATATGCTGGTCATGCATCAGTATGCCTTCGGTATTAATGGTTAATTTATAGAGAAATTGAACTTATTTTATCTCTCAAAATTGTGTCTTACAATCTCACATGCCCATCTCTTCCGCAGTAGTCCCTGGGCCTTGAGGAGTTGAATAGCTTTAATTTCTGGCCCTGTGTCTCAGAAATGCAGTTTAGTTTGATTAGTGCCTTTGACTGGGCCTGAA
Source organism: Homo sapiens (assembly GCF_000001405.40). NCBI lineage: Eukaryota > Metazoa > Chordata > Mammalia > Primates > Hominidae > Homo > Homo sapiens. The sequence goes on from NC_000024.10 coordinate 3,998,810, forward strand.
GATGAGGTTTTAATTGCTGTCAGTGTTTAAGATTTAGCAGGACTTGGTGTCCTTTTCAGATCAAGGAGTCAAAGACCTGTAACTCAATGTCATAAGGACTTTAAAAGCACATACAGAAAGATACACAGATGTATAACCTTAATTAAGAAAAAAATATTTTAATCTCAGTTTTTTCTTCTAAGCAAACCAAAACTTAACAATAATAGCATAGGAATTATTTCAAAAAAATTTAAAATCTGTTAGGACAGTTACCAAAAAGCAAAATAAAAGACCTTCGATGGCTGGCAAGATGGCTGAATAGGAAGAGCTCCGCTCTGCAGCTCCCAGGGAGATCAATGCAGAAGGTGGGTGATTTCTGCATTTCCAACTGAGGTACCATGCTCAACTCATTGGGACTGGTTAGACAGTGAGTACAGTCCCTGGATGGCAAGCAGAAGCAAGGGGGGACATTGCCTCACCTGGGAAGCACAAGGGGCCAGGGAACTCCCTCCCCTAGCCAAGGGAAGCCATGAGGGACTGTGCCATGAGGAACAGTGCAATCTGGCCCAGATACTACACTTTTTCCCACGGTCTTCACAACCCACAGATCAGGAGATTCCCTCGGGTGCCTACACCACCAATAACCTGGGTTTTAAGCACAAAACTGGGTGGCTGTTTGGGTAGACAGTGAGCTAGCTGCAGGAGTTTTTTTTTTTTGTACACCAGAGGCATGTGGAACACCAGCGAGTCAGAACTGTTCACTCCTCTGGAAAGGGGGATGAAGCCAGGGAGCCAAGTGGTCTAGCTCAGTGGATCCCACCCCTACAGAGCCCAGCAAGCTAATATCCACTGGCTTGAGATTCTTGCTGCCAGCACAGCAGTCCAAAATTGACCTGGGATGCTCAAGCTTGGTGCGGGCAGGGGCGTGCACCATTACTGAGGCTTGAGTAGGTGGTTTTCCCCTCACAGTGTAAACAAAGCTGCTGGGAAATTTGAACTAGACAGAGCCCACCGCAGCTCGGCAAAGCCGCTGTAGCCAGACTGCCTCTCTAGATTCTTCCTCTCTGGGCAGGGCATCTCTGAAAGAAAGGCAGCAGCTCCAGTCAAGGGCTTATAGAAAAAACACCCATCTCCCTGGGAAAGAGCACCTGGGGGAAGAGGTGGCTGTGGGTGCAACTTCAGTGGACTTAAACATTTCTGCCTGCTGGCTCTGAAAAGAGCAGCAGATCTCCCAGCACAGCACTCGAATTCTGCTAAGGGACAGACTGCTTCTTCAAGTGGGTCCCTGACACTCATGTCTCCTGACTGGGAGACACCTCCCAGCAGGCGTCAACAGACATCTCGTACGGGACAGCTCCAGCTGGCATCTGGTGGGTGCCTCTCTGAGATGAAGCTTCCAGAGGAAGGAACAGACAGCAATCTTTGCTATTCTGCAGCCTCTGCTGGTGATACCCAGGCAAACAGGGTCTAAAGTAGACCTCCAGCAAATGCCAGCAGACCTGCAGCAGAGGGGCCTGACTGTTAGAAGGAAAACTAACACACAGAAAGGAATAGCATCGACATCAACAAAAAGATGTCCAAATAATGATCTCATCTGAAAGTCACCAACATCAAAGACCAACGGCAGATAAATCCATGAAGATGAGGAAAAACCAGGGGAAAAAAAGGCTGAAAATTCAACAAAAAGAATGCCTCTTCTCCTCCTACAAAGGATCAAAACTCCTTGCCAGCAAGAGAAAAAAACTGGACAGAGAATGAGTTTTATGATTTGACAGAAGTAGGCTTCAGAAGGTGGGTAATAACAAACTCCTCCAAGCTAAAAGAGCATGTTCTAACCCAATGCAAGGAAGTTAAGAACCTTGAAGAAAAGGTTAGAGGAATTACTAACTAGAATAACCAGTTTAGAGAAGAAGATAAATGACCTGATGGAGTTGAAAAAACAGCATGAGAATTTCGTGAAGTATACACAAGTATCAATAGCCAATCGATCAAGCAAAAGAAAGGATATCAGAGACTGACAATCTACTTAATGAAATAAAGCATGAAGACAAGATGACAGAAAAAGAAAGAAAAGGAATGAACAAAGCCTCCAAGAAATACGGGACTATGTGAAAAGACCAAATCTGCGTTTGATTGGTACCTGAAAGTGATGGGGAAAATGGAGCCAAGCTGGAAAACTCTCTTCAGGATATTACCCAGGAGAACTTCCCCAACCTAGCAAGACAGGCCAACATTCAAATTCAGGAAATACAGAGAACACCACAAAGATACTCCTTGAGGAGAGCAACCCCAAGACACATAATTGTCAGATTCACCAAGGTTGAAATGAAGGAAAAATGTTAAGGGCAGCCAGAGAAAGTTCGGGTTACTCACAAGGTGAAGTCCATCAGATTAGCAGCAGATCTCTCTGCAGAAACCGTACAAGCCAGAAGACAGTGGGGGGCGGAATATTCAACATTCTTAAAGACAAGAATCTTCAACCCAGAATTTTGTATCCAGCCAAACTAAGCTTCATAAGCGAAGGAGAAATAAAATCCTTACAGACAAGCAAATGCTGAAAGATTTTGTCACCACCAAGCCTGCCTTACAAGAGCTCCTGAAGGAAGCACTAAACATGGAAAGGAAAAACCAGTATCAGCCACTGCAAAAACAGCAAATTGTAAAGACCATTGACACTATGAAGAAACTGCATCAACTAACAGGCAAAATAACCAGCTAGCATCATAATGACAGGATCAAATTCACACATAACAATATTAACCTTAAATGTAAATGGGCTAAATTCCCCAATTAAAAGACACAGACTGGCAAATTGGATAAAGAGTCAAGACCCATCAGTGTGCTGTATTCAGGAGACCCATCTCACGTGCAAAGACACACATAGGCTCAAAATAAGAGATGGAGGAATATTTACGGAGCAAATGGAAGGGGAAAGAAAAGCAGAGGTTGCAATCCTAGTCTCTGATAAAACAGACGTTAAACCAACAAAGATCAAAAAAGACAAAGAAGGGCATTACATAATGGTAAAGGGACCAATGCAACAAGAAGAGCTCACTATCCTAAATATATATGCACCCAATACAGGAGCACCCAGACTCATAAAACAAGTTCTTAGAAACTTACAAAGAGACTTAGACCCCCACACAATAATACTGGGAGACTTTAACACCCCACTGTCAATATTAGACAGAACAACAAGACAGAAAATTAACAAGAATATTCAGGAATTGAACTCAACTCTGGACCAAACAGACCTAATAGACATCTACAGAACTCTCCACTTCAAATCAACAGAATATACATTCTTCTCAGTACCACATCACACTTATTCTAAAATTGAACACATAATTGGAAGTAAAACACCCCTCAGCAAATGCAAAAGAATGGAAATGATAACAAACAGTCTCCCAGGCCACAGTGCAATCAAATTAGAACTCAGGATTAAGAAACTCATTCAAAACTGTACAACTACATGGAAACTGATCAGCCTGCTCCTGAATGGCTACTGGGTAAATAATGAAATTAAGGCAGAAAAAAAGATGTTATTTGAAACCAATAAGAACAAAGACATAATGTATCAGAATCTCTGGGACATATTTAAAGCAGTATTTAGAGGGAAATTTATAGCACTGAAAGTCCACAGGAGAAAGCAGGAAAGATCTAAAATCGACACCCTAACATCACAATTAAAACAACTAGAGAAGCAAGAGCAAACAAATTCAAAATCTACCAGAAGACAAGAAATAAATAAGATCAGAGCAGAACTGAAGGAGACAGAGATATGTAAAACCTTTCCAAAAATCAATGCATCCAGAAGCTGGCTTTTTGAAAAGATTAACAAAATAGATAGACCACTAACCAGACTAATTAAAAAAAGAAGAGAGAGAAGAATCAAATAGACACAATAATAAATGATAAAGGGGATATCACTACCAATCCCACAGAAATACAAACTACCATCAGAGAATACTAGAAACACTTCTACGCAAGTAAACTGGAAAATCTAGAAGAAATAGAAAAGTTCCTGGACACGCACACCCTCCAAAGACTAAGGAAGAAGTCAAATGCCTGAATAGACCAATAACAAGTTCTGAAATTGAGGCAGTAATTAATAGCCTACCAATAAAAAAAAAAAAACAGTACCAGAAGCCTTCACAGTTGAATTCTACCAAAGGTGCAAAGAGGAGCTGGTACCATTCCTTCTGAAACTATTCCAAACAATAGAAAAAGAGGGAATCCTCCCTAACTCATTTTATGAGGCCAGCATCCTCCTGATACCAAAAGCTGGCAGAGACATAACAAAAAAAGAAAATTTCAGGCCAATATCCCTGAGGAACATTGATGTGAAAATCTTCAATAAAATAGACAAACCGAATCCAGCATCACATCAAAAAGCTTATCCACCATGATCAAGTCAGCTTCATCCCTGGGATGCAAGGTAGGTTCAACATCTTCAAATCATTAAACGTAACCCCTCACATAAACAGAACCAATGACAAAAACCACGATTATCTCAATAGATGCAGTAAAGGCCTTTGATAAAATTCAACACCTCTTCATGCTAAAAACTCTTAACAAACTAGGTTTTGATGCAATGTATCTCAAAATAATAACAGCTATTTATGACAAACCCACAGCCAATATCATACTGGATGGGCAAAAGCTGGAAGCATTCTGTTTGAAAACCGGCACAAGACAAGGATGCCCTCTCTCACCACTCTTATTCAACAGACTATTGGAAGTTCTGGCCAAAGCAATCAGGTAAGAGAAAGAAATAAAGTGTATTCAAATGGGAAGAGAGGAAGTCAAATTGTCTCTGTTTGCAAATGACATGATTGTATATTTAGAAAACTCCATTGTATCAACCCAAAATCTTCTTAAGCTGATAAGCAGCTTCAGCAATGTCTTGGGATACAAAATCAATGTGCAAAAATCACAAGCATTCCTATACAACAATAATAGACAGAGAGCCAAATCATGAGTGAAATCCAATTCACAGTTGCTACAAAGAGAATAAAATACCTAGGAATACAACTTACAAGGGATATGAAGGACCTCTTCAAGGAGAAATACAAATCACTGCTCAAGGAGATAAGAGAGGACACAAACAAATGAAAAAACATTCCATGTTCATGTACAGGAAGAATCCATATCCTGAAAATGGCCACACTGCCAAAAGTAATTTATAGATTCAATGCCATCCCCATCAACTACCATTGACTTTCTTCACATAATTAGAAAAAACTACTTTAAATTTCATATGGAACCAAAAAAGAGCCCATAAAGCCAAGAGAATCCTAAGCAAAAAGAACAAAGCTGGAGGCATCAGAATACCTGACTTCACATTATACTACAAGTCTGCAGTAACCAAAACAGCATGGTACTGGTTCCAAATCAGATATATAGACCAATGGAACAGAACAGAGGCCTCAGAAATAATGCCACACATCTGCAACCATCTCGTCTTTGACAAACCTGACAAAAACAAGCAATGGGGAAAGGATTCCTTATTTAATAAATGGTTTTGGGAAAACTGGTTTTCCATATGCAGAAAACTGACACTGGACCCCTTTCTTACACCTTATATAAAAATTAACTCAAGATGGACTAAAGACTTAAATGTAAGACCTAAAAACCCTAGAAGAGAACCTAGAAAACACCATTCAGGACATAGGCATGGGCAAAGACTTCATGACTAAAACCCCAAAGGAATGGCAACAGAAGACAAAATGGACAAATGGGATCTAATTAATCTGAAGAGCTTCTGCAAAGCAAAAGAAACTATCACCAGAGTGAACAGGCAACCTGCAGAATGAGAGAAAATTTTTGCAATCTATCCATCTTACAAAGGGCTAATATCCAGAATCTACAAAGAACTTAAACAAATTTACAAGAAAACAACAAACAACCCCATCAAAAAGTGAGTGAAGGATATGAACAGACAGTTCTCGAAAGAAGACATTTATGCGGCCAACAAACATATGAAAAAAAGCTCATCATCACTGGTCATTAGAGAAATGCAAATCAAAACCACAATGCGGTACCATCTTATGCCAGTTAGAATGGCGGTCATTTGAGGACAGGCGCGGTGGGTCACGCCTGTAATCCCAGCACTTTGGGAGGCCGAGGCGGGCGGATCATGAGGTCAAGAGATCGAGACCAGCCTGACCAAGAAGGTGAAACCTCATCTCTACTAAAAAATACAAAAATTAGCTGGGCGTGGTGATGTATGCCTGTAGTCCCAGCTACTTGGGAGGCTGAGGCAGGAGAATCACTTGAACCCGGGAGGCGGAGGTTGTAGTGAGCTGAGATGGCACCACTGCATTCCAGCCTGGCAACAGACTGAGACTCCGTCTCAAAAAAAAAAAAAAACAAAAAACAAAAAGAATGGCAGTCATTTAAAAGTAAGGAAACAACAGATGCTGGAGACGATGAGGAGAAATAGGAATGCTTTTACACTGTTGGTGGGAATGTAAATTAATTCAACCATTGTGGAAGACAGTGTGGTGATTCCTCAAGGATCTAGAACTAGAAATACTATTTGACCCAGCAATCCCATTATTGGGTATATATCCAAAAAATTATAAGTAATTCTACTACAAAGACACATGCACACGTGTATTTATTTCAGTACTATTTACAGTAGCAAACACTTGGAACCAACCCAAATGCCCATCAGTGATAGACTGGATAAAGAAAATGTGGCACATATACACCATGGAATACTATGCAGCCATAAAAAAGGATTAATTCATGTCTTTTGCAGGGACATGGATGAAGCTGGAAACCACTACTCTCAGCAAACTGACACAGGAACAGAAAACCAAACACCGCATGCTCTCACTAATGTCAAACAATGTGAACACATGGACACAGGGAGGGGAACATCACACACTGGGGTCTGTCAGTGGGTGGAGGGTTAGGGGAGGGATAGCATTAGGAGAAATAGCTAATGTAGATGACAGGTTGATTGGTGCAGCAAACCACCATGGCACATGTATACCTATGTAACAAACCTGCACATTCTGCACATATATCCCAGAACTTAAAGTATAATTAAATAAATAAATAAATAAAAAGACCTTCTGCAGTGCACAGAATATTATGTTGGAAGAAAACATTTCCTTCAGACCTTTCAGAAAACATTGTTAGCATCAGGCCATAACAAAGAGAACCTGAGGTGGGGGAAAGCATATATGAGCTGAAAATGAGTTGAAGGAGAGCATTACCATTTCATGCCTTTTAAAAGCGGAGACAAAACAAAAATGATGAGATGTAATAAAAGTTGAACTTATGGTTAAAAATAATGAAAATATCTTATAATGTATTCAGAGTAAATCAATCCCTTCAGAAATTTCACTCTTCTAACCAATTCTTTAGTGTGGAAGTGTTTTTTAACATCAAACCTAATTTCTAGAAAGACCATTATAATTTCCCTTTAATTATAAACAACTTTATCACACAAAGATTTGTTTTTAATAAAGCCTCTAAGACTAAATTTACAATACAAAATTTTTTACTCATATAAAATTATGTCTTTTTAAGCTTTCTCACCAACAAATAACTCTTTATTTCTGTAACTTTCTTCACATCTCTCTTATTTCCTGGCTCTTTTTACCTTGTTTTATATATAATATTTAAATAAAATTTGAGTTAGACAAAAAATGTTCACTGTTTTAAAAAGAACACTTTTTTAGAAAAAGAGATTTTCTACAATATATTATTATCAAAAAATACCAAAATAATGAAATATCTATTATTTAACTTTAGATATTAAATTGTCATGTTTGTCTACAAGTTTTTATCCTATTACATTTACCTAATTATTTTAATCATTTACATAGATTTTTTATGAAAACTGCAATAGTTATTATGTAAGTTATAAAACTACCATTGCAAAATTATAACTGAGACAGTGAAACATATCTCACCTAACTGACTCCATCCTGTTTCTAACCTCCAGCTGTCCTTGTTTATTCCTGAACATAGGCCATAGTAACTTTGGAGGGAACTTAGTTTATGGTTTAGCTTTGAAACAAAGATAAGAACAGTTCTTTCTCAAAACAAAGCTCCTTACTACCTGTGGAATAGACTGCTTAAGGCCGTTATGGTAACTGTACTAAATAATTCCAGATGTAGCTATTTTTATTAAACCAATATCAATGTCTTATTTATCAAAAATCACACAAGCAAACATCATTCTGTTTTGGTCTGGGTTTTATAGTTTTGTATTGCCTGTGCCAAACTCTGACACATAGTAGTTGACAGGGATAAGTATGAAATTGCTTGATCAATAAATGCAAATGAAAATGTATGCTGGAAGTTCCTAAGACATTTTTAATATTACTTTACCAATAATTTTCAACTAGCTTATTTATTAGCGAATTTACTTAAGTCATATAAACTTGAAAAAACATTTAACTAGTCTTTCCTTTGTTCTGGTATTGATTTAAGTGTTTTTATTTCTCTTTAAGCCAATTAATTAGAGCTCTTTTATATATTTTAAATAGTGAAACACTGTGTACACAACCCATAAATACACAGACGTATTTGGCATGCCAATAGAAGTACATCTTATTGATTCATGAGACCTTTTTTTTTCCCCCATCTTAGACTTGCAATCTCTTGATAACCTGTTTCATTATCCTGGAAGTTGTCCGATAAATCTGCATATTAAAGGAAACAAGTCTTATGTGAAAAATCAAATAGCAAAATTTACTTCTCAAGGTTCAGAGAGAAAAAATCTGGTGGTTCTAGAGGGAGATTAAAGATGGATGCCACATTAAACATTAAAATAAAAATTTATCATAAGAGTGTATAAGAATACCAATTTTATTTAGATAGGGACTACCTATTTTTAACCGGATCTCTGAGCTCTGAGCAGAGCCCACACTGAATCGTGAGTCTCCAAAAGAAAATTATGAGACTAGGCCTGTGATGAGTTTACAGTGCACCATAATTTTTTTTAAACAAAGACATTTCTAAGTCTCTACACTCTTCCTTAAAAACCCAAGAGTAGCCTCTGTTGCAACAACTATCTTAGTCAAAAAATCAGGTAACACAATACAAAAGCAAGCAGTTTAAAGGCAGAGATAAACTTTTCTGTTTACACTCTTGGGGTTCCATAAGGAAAAACAGAGATTTCTCCCCAGAAGTGAGTCTGGCACCTTCTCCATTTTTTAATTAACCCCCAGGCAATTAGAAACTATTTTAGGTCCCTCATGCAACAGAGGATGCAAGAGAAAGGAGAGACGCAGAAGTAAATAAAGGAAACAGAATTCAGTCAACTGAGAAGGAAATTAACTTTTGCTCAGAAAGGCAAAGTCCTAGGTGAAAAGAAAAGTAAAACAAAAATATGAAGACCTTTCAAATACAAATACACACACACATGCAAACATACACACATACATCTTGGATGCTGGCTTTTAGTTAAGCTGACTTTTAACCATTGAGCTCCTTTAAAAAAATCTTTTTTTAAAAATCTCATTACCGTATTTCAGCTAGAGAAAATTGCTGCTACTTCAGAAGTACCAAGTATCAAACCAGAAACGGCTTGTTTTAGGAACCAAACCCAGGCTGCCATGGTAAAAAACAAAGGCAGAAGCATAGCTATGGAACTACAGTATGGGGAAACAACCATTGCTCTTTTAGTTTGGACTGGCTAGTGAAATGGCTAGTGAAAAGGTGGCCTTGTTATGTAAATAAAGCCCCTTAAGAAGTCAAAATAAAAAATCTTTTTCTTTTGCAGGCCATTTCCCCCTCAACTATACCACCTTTTTGTGGGGAGCGGGGAGGGGGAATTTAGCCACTTTAGGGCCTTGTTCCCCATAATTTGAAACTTCCTTTTGGATTTTATCAAGTCAGATAGAGCTGATGAAACCCAATGGGAAAAAGACTGAAACAACAACAAAAACAGAAACAAACAACAACAACAAAACCGTTAAGCAAAACAAATGATCGCACAACTTATACAATTACTTAGCACTCTAATGGTAAGGAGAAATTAAGACAAGCTGGTTGTTAATCTTAACTTTAGCAAGGACAAACCCCAATTGAGCTAATCACCTAGGGATGGGCCTCAGGCTGAAGACTGTCCATCCTAGAAGCAGGAAAAAACTCAAATTTGTCTTCCCTGTTGGAAGCGAGCTCAAACTCCATAAAAAAAGTTACCCATCTTCCATCATCATGAAAGCAGGAAAACTTGCATTTCTTGTTACTCGCAAGTAAAATTCCATAAAAGGGAGTTGTACAGCAAAACATACTTCAAATCTCGACCAAATTTTGGGATACCAGGGATTCTTTGGACGGGGTGCTTCCAGGCCTAAGCAAATTGCCCTATTGGTTTGAGCCATAAAGATAGCTCAAGCTGGTACCAAGCACCAATAGGAGATTTGTCAAAGGTCAAGGATGCTTCTACTCAGAATCTCTTCATGATTGCCAAAATGTGAATGATGAATATCTAAGACAGGTCTCAGGAAATTTAGGAAGGTTATTTTGCCAAGGTTTAAGATGTGCACCCATTACACAGCCTCAGGAGGTCCTGACGACACATGCCCAAGGTGGTCAAAGCACAGCTTGGTTTTTACATTTTAGGGAGACATGAGACATCAATCAATATCTGTATGATGTACATTGATTCCGTCCAAAAAGGTGGGACAACTCAAAGCAGCGAGGGGGCTTCCAGGTCACAGGTAGATGAGAGACAAATGATTGCATTCTTTTGAGTTTCTGATTAGCCTTTCTAAAGGAGGCAATCAGATAGGCATTTATCTCAGTGAGCAGAGGGATGATTTTGAATAGAATGGGAGGCAGGTTTACCCTAAGCAGTTCCCAGCTTGAGTTTTCTTTTTAGCTTAATTATTTTGGGGTCCCAAGATTTATTTTCCTTTCACAGAGATCGTATACCAGTTGAGCTCTGCCATTTTCCTCTTAGTACGCATGCTTCAGCTCACTCACCCAACTCCTGAGATCTTACCAGGAAGCTACTGATCACCAGTTTCCGGTTTTTTCTATCTACAGGTAAACTTGCTTTCTCTGGTGCTGGCTGTGGCCAATTACTATTTTAGAGGGGCAGTGTAACTGCTTGACCATCACCTGATGGTTGCCTGATATTCCTTGTTGAGGAGGCACCCTTTCCTGCCCTGTTCATGTCTGACTAGCTATTTACTGTAATATTTCTTCTCTCAAGAGTCCAAGACCCCAATTATTTGGGGAAAATGGATGCAGGTCCATCTTCTGTAACTGCTGCCTGCTGACAGAGGGGCAGTGATGGTTGTTCTGTGGGTCTTGGCCTGTTTCTAGCTGTAAGGGTAGGAAGGTGGCTTCATGATTTGGTAAAAGTGGTATCCAACCAGGTCCTAGGGAGACAGGGGCAGGATTTTGCCTCCATTATCTGGAGCTGGATGGTGTGAAGCTGAGAAGACAAACTGAGTTATTAGAATGTCAAAACAAATTAAGTGGGTAATAACAGCTCCAAAAAATTCCGAGACTGCCAACATGCCCAGGTAACTGGTCGCTGTATTCATGCCTGCTTAGTCTTGGATTTATGGGGTTGCTAACTGATTGCAGTATGTGCCCAGAATTAGAATATTGATTCAGATTTTTACATTACCTATCCCTTTGTTTCTTCGGAGCTGCAGCCAGAGATCACTGGTTGGTTCACAGAAATAGGCAGGGTTAGTCTAAATTGCAGATAAAAACTCAAAAACAACTGATGAGACTAGAATCTAATAATAGGTATACCATAGTTCTTGAAACATAATTTTTCAGTCTCCAGTCCTCATTTGTTATTCAAAACAAATATAGCGTTGTTTGCAAAAAAAAAAAAAAACTTTAGTCTTATTTTCTTATTTTACTTGGCCTGATTATTTGCATAAAGCACAGCAAAAATAATTATTTGCCATATAGCTTTCTTTTTAATTTGGCTTTGATGCAACTTCATTCCATAAGGAATCTCAGATAAGACTCTGTTTGAAGCCTTAAGCACAGCCATGGATTGGTGCCATTAAATACATTTATGAGGGGTGAATTTCTCTCCTATTGAGGTCTCAAAATAACTTGGGGTTCCTGTGATTGTTAGAAAGTGACATTCTTTACTTATCACAGTTCAGGAACTCTGTACAGGGACAAGGACAAAATATGTGGAGAAAAGCTATGAGGCCAGTTTTCCCAAGGGGCTTTTCTAGACTCTATAAGTAAAGTTTGATTTCTTAAAGGAAAGTACACCATTCTAGTCAAAGCCTTGGTATAATAAAATAACCAGTTTCTCCAGTTATGTCCTGTTGTAAAAGAGAACAGATTCTTATTGCACATATGCAAATAACTATATTGCCATAAGTTAAGAATACTTCACAGATAGTTTCCAAATTCTGGAGAAATCAGGTAGAGAGAAATAAATATGCTCCAAGTTTTGTCTACAGGAGTGCTCAATTGTTAAAAGCTATAAGTAGCTCAAAAGAAAAATTTTCTTGGCTTTGAAAAAACAAAGAATGGATTGGCAACATTTTAAGCGAAAGTCAAAAAAGATTACTTTGGTCTTTTATTAGTTAAATGTATGCAACTATTTCCTGTTTTGCTTGAAATTTATAAACACATTAGTAAAGTCCTGTAGCTGATTATGTAACCACCTTTTAGAGGATTAAAACAAGGTGATATGGTTTGGTTCTGTGTCCCCACCCAAGTCTCATCTTGAATTATACTCCCATAATTCCTGCATGTTGTGGGAGGGACCTGGTGGGAGATAATTTGAATCATGGGACAGTTCCCCCATATTCTTCTCGTGGTAGTGAATAAGACATACAATATGTGATGGATTTATCAGGGGTTTCCACTTTTGCATCATTCTCATTTGCTCTTGCCACCACCGTGTAAGAAGTGCCTTTCACCTCCTGCCATGATTCTGAAGCCTACCTAGCCATGTGGAACAGTAAGTCCAATTAAACCTGAGGTGAGACTGAGGTAGTCCCCGATGGAGATGAAGAACTTGTTGGGAGCTGGAGCAAATGTGACTCTTCTTATGTTTTAGCAAAGAGACTTGTGGCATTTTGCCCCTGCCCTAGAGATTTGTGGAATTTTGAACTTGAGAAAGATGATTTAGGGCATCTGGTGGAAGAAATTTTTAAGTAGTAAAGCATTCAAGAGGTGACGTGGGTTTTGTTAAAGGCATTCAGTTGTATAAGGGAAGCAGTCTGACCATAAGGTAAGAATCTCATAAACCTTTTATAAGCCTTTACCATTTTCTGTTAAAGAGCAGAATAATGCTCTAGGCAAAATGTGTCATGCTTTTTATTCCAATGTTCAATTTACAGATAAACTGAATAATACCACTTTAGTTGTAGCTAATATGTCCACAACCACAATTTCTTTACAAGATGAATTTTTCACAAGCCTTGCACGACTTGCCTAAACCTTTAGCTATACCCTAACTTAAAACAATCTTTTAACCCTCTAAGTAAGGCAAAATATCCACATTCCCATGCCTTCTTATAATCTTCTACCAAAAGCACATTCTACTTTCCTTGCATGCCTTGTGTGTAAAACTGTTTTTCCAATAGACTCAGGTACATATTACAATGTTAACTCTTAGCAACTTTTAGTTTTGGGGAAATACCTGGTAAGTAAGCAATTCTAATTATGTACTAGGTATCTAGCCTAGGACACCAGACAGCAGTGCAGATAAGGTTTGAAACTTTGTTATAGCTAGGGACCTGATTAACTTTGTATGTCCCCAGGCCTTACCTAGCTTGAAAGCAAACAATTTGCATAATTAAGAGTCTTAGTAGCAGTTTATGAAGCATAAAGGAGGCTTAATAGCCTTTAAATTGTTTAATATTTTTTTCTTAAATTTCCTTTCATGAGTCTTCTCCCAACTTACACAAATCTTCTACAACATGTTTTAACTTTCTGATTTGTCCTAAACATTCCTCTTTTTAAACACCCTGTTATTTTACTCTGGGACAACAATTTACCATACAAGATATTTTCTTATATAAAATCCCTTTTCTTTATAACATTCCTTACCAAAAATACCTCTTTGCCTTTATAACCTTTGAATTAGACAAAAGTCATTTTATTTTTGTTAAGAAATTATGGTTTGTACTACATGTTGCTGTGTATATACTGTGAAGAGGGAGCAAATAGGCAGGTTATCTGCATACTGCAGATGTTACCTCCCCTCAAGAGATTGCTTGGTAAGATTTTTTTAGGGCTTTTCTGAATAAGTGTGGACTATTTCTAAACCCATGAGGTAGGACTGACCAGATTGAAGTAGTTATTAGGGAGAAAGATAAATTCAGAGGTAGGGTAAATATTAAATTCAGAGGTAGGGTAAATATTAAGAAGTCATCCATCTTAGAAAGTACATTTTTGCCCTGAAGTGTGAATACTCTTTTGGAGGAAGGTAGTGCCATTAACCTCCATTAGCCAATAGGAGTTGAAAGAGAGTTGCTCAGGAAAGATTAGCTCAGACTAGGCAGCTCTTAAGCCCAAAAGGGAAATTTATAATTTTACTTGCCTCCTCCAGAGTTGCTCTTGGCTTTGTTCCATTGATGATGTCTGATCTGGGAGCCGATTGGTCCAGACAGCCCATTCTGCTCAAGGCCATAAAAGGTTGGGATTATTTCCCAGGGGCCCTTCCGCTCTCAGGGCAGTCCTGTTCCAGCGGCCAAGCTTGTGGCAGAGGGGCAAGCTGTGTGCAGCTTTTGCCATTTATCCCATTGGGACAGTTTGCCTTCCAGTGGCCTGGCTTACTGCACCAATGACAGTTACCTGAAGGAGTGTTATTAGGGCAACCTGGAAGGGGCTGGAGAGCTTGTAAAGCAGTCAAAATAGTTAGCCTGCGTTTCTCCTGTTCTTAGCCCTGTTGTCCATATTCTACTCTCAGTTATAAAAGACTGAGGAAGCTAATCTCAAGACCTCCATCACAGGGGCACTGCATTCCAAGGCTGACTTTTGTAATTTTTTCCCACTTTATTTTAAAGCCAAACAATATTAAAACAGAAAACTCATTTTATGTGTTAAGGTTTAGGGGAATCACACATTTTCCAGTTTTAGGGGAATGCATCTGAGGGGCATGTCCTGTGGTATAAAGATGTGATTGCTAGGCTGGATGCAGTGGCTCATGCCTGTAATCCCAGCACTTTGGGAGGCTGAGGGGGTGGATCACCTGAGGTCAGGAGTTTGAGACCAGCCTGACCAACATGGAGAAACCCCATCTCTACTAAAAATACAAAATTAGCCGGGTGTGGTGGCACATGCCTATAATCCCAGCTACTCAGGAGGCTGAGGCAGGAGAATCTCTTGAACCAGGAGGCAGAGCTTGTGATGAGCCAAGATCACGCACTATTGCACTCCAGCCTGGCCAACAAGAATGAAACTCCATCTCAAAAACAAAACAAAAAAACAAAACAAAAAAGATGTGATTACCCATCTGCAAAGAAAACAGGAGAAAAGAAAGAAAAAAGAAAGAAGAAGGTGTTCCCTCTACTTTTCTATTATTCTGAATGGGGCATCTCCCATTGTCCTTAGGGTTCCAGAATTAACCAGTTTTACCATGTACCTTTGGTGTCATCTGTTCACAATTATCCACTTGAGAACAGAGGAGATACTGGAGTGAACAGTGGGCCCCCTGTTTATCCTTGGGGTTCTGGAATGAACCCGTCTTACTGTGTACCTGTAACCTTGCCTTTATCTCTGTTCTGATGGTAATCGGTTAGCCTGGGACCAACCTTCATCTCTGCCCTATGGGTCTCTTGCACCTGCAGCCTTGGCCCGGCCTATATCCTTGTCTTCGTGACCTTGTAATGACTGTTGCGTAAAGCCTTCCAGAAAAACGTATACATATTTTCTTAGATTCTCATTTCCCATGTTCTTTAAGTAGATGAGAAGCCTTGTAGCTAACTGCTACAAGGGGGCTGGACTTTCCTCCCCACTTGCTTCAAATATGACCTTGAAGGTCTTGATGCATATTGAGAAGGATGCGAAAATAATTAGAGAAATGGAGGCCACAGGAAGAAGTGAGAAGAAGCAAGAATCCAGCAGCCTTTGGATTCAAGAGGGTAATGTTTATTTGCCCTCTTGATGTAAAGTAGTAACTTCCGGAGGACTTGGGGCTTGGGATAAGAACTCATAAATGGCAAAGAAAAAAATCCCCTCCTGCAAAAAAGGTGCTAACTCAAAAAAGCACAAATAGGTGGGCTCCTTCAAGGGCAAGAGTGAGGCCCTATATAGGTGGACAAACTGCTTCAAGACCCTGGGAAACTTGGCCCTGGGGCATAACAGGAATTAAAAGCATATGCTAAGTTATAAGGAGATGGCAGAGCTAGGTTCCAATTATTGTCTGTCCTGGCAATGGGCCAGTGGACATCCGAAAGGAAAGCCGTTTCTTTGCTGCTGTGCAAGTGCAGTAACAGCCACAGGTGCAAGAATAACAGGAAGTGTGTGATGAGGTCACGTGACATGTGAAGTAAAAGCAAAGGGTTGGAGTTGCCCCTGAGGTGGACAGTCTGGTGGGTGTGCAAGGCCATTTTAGAACACACACAGAAAAAAAAAAATTGGCAATGTGAGGTCTTGGGAAAGAGCCCATTTTAGTTGAAAAAGCAGACGAATCCCCAGCATTGCACGGTTTTAGGTTTTATCCCTACCACTCTCATGAGCCACCTGTCCAGGAGGGCCATTAGTGCCTCCATTCTACTCAGTTCAGACCCCAAGGCCAATCCCATCCCCACGAGTCACCCTTCTGGGTGAGCTGAGTGATAAGCTGGGGAAACAGAGTCACTTACGGCCAAAAGGACTTGTTCTAGATGTTTGTTAATAAGAAGAAGGGAGACAGGGAGAAGAAACCATGTGCAGTGGTTGAACATCCCCAGCCGAAGAAGATGAGGGGTAGAGATCTCTTAACCACTAGGGAATGTATTCAAATCATGTAGCACCAAAGTATGTTAGCAGTGGAAGTTATCTGAGTCATATGGCACCAAAATATTTTGGCAGCAACAAATCTGTATGGGTCTGCAGCAACCTCGATTCTTGCCATCTCAGAAGAAATAATTCAACTGAGGAGCCTAAGGTAGAAGGAGAAACCCAGGGAAATTTTAGAGCAGGAGTAAAACTTTATTTTAAAAGCTCTAGAGCAGAAACAAAAGGAAGGAAAGTATACTTGGAAGAAGGTCAAGTGGTCAACTTGAAAGACAAGTGTGCAGTTTTACTTTTTGACCTGAGGTTTTATATGTTGGCATAATTCTGGGGTTTTGCATAACTTCTCCCCTGACTTCACCTTTGGGGTGGGCTGTCTGCATGCGCAGTGGCCTGCCAGCAGTTGGGAGGGGAGCATGTGCGGTGTGTTTACTGGAGTTGTATGAATGCTCACTTGAGGTGTTCTTTCTTTACCAGCCAAATGTCCCTAAGAAATCATATACCAGTTAAACTCTGCCATCTTGCCTCTTAGGCATTTTTCCAACTCCTGATATCTTATCGAGAAGCTACTGATCACCAGTTTCAGGTTTTTTTTCTATCTGTAGGGAGACTGCCTTTCCCTGGCACCTGCTGTGATCAATTATTATTTTAGAGACTGTGTAACAACTGCCTGACCATCACCTGATGGTCCCCTGATATTCCTGGTGTCAAGGAAAAACTCTCTTCCACCCTGTTGGTGTCTGACTAGCTACCTATTGTAACAACTTGAGATAATGATCTCTGGTTCCATCTAAGTTGCTGCAAAATACATTATTTCATTTTTAGAATAATCAACATAATTTGTAGAACTATATTTAAAACTATGCTTTTGTCCAGATTATTCCTAATAGAATATTTATTCATCCTCAGAGAGTGAATCTGCTTATTCTGGATTCATGCACTAGCCTATTTATATCCACAAATCTGTGTGTACTTATTTCTATCTATTACGTTTGAATAATTTTTTTAAAAAATAAACTTCCTTTCTCTTTACAAACAAGAGTTGGAATGATACAGATGTCTCTGTGTGTGTGTTTGTAGTAATTTTTTGCCTGCTATAATCTTCTAGGTAAGATTCTTCTTTGTCTTTAGGTATGCAAAGATTTGCCTCCTTATAGTATTATTTTATTTTATGTATTCATTTAATATCTTAATAAATAGGCTAGAGAAAGGTGATTTTTTTCTGTTTTTTTTTTTGTATGTTTACATAGTCAGATGTTTAAACAATAATTGTAAGAATATCAATATGCATTTTATGATAATTTAGTTGTCATTTTTGAAATTGTTCTCTATATGTGATTTACAAACAAGGTAACCCTCTCATGAGTATTTGATATTAAGGTCAGCAGTCTTGTATGCATTGTTGTCCTTCTGTTTAGAACAGCGGTGTCTAATCTTTTGGTTTCCCTGGGCCACATTAGAGGAAGAATTGTCTTGGGCCAAACATAAAATATACTAACACTAATGATAGCTGATAAGCTAAAAAAGAAATCACAAAATAATCTCATTATGTTTTCAGAAAGTTTATGAGTTTGTGTGGGGCGGCATTCAAAGCTGTCCTGGACTGCATGTAGCCTGTGGGTCAGCTTGGTTTAGAAGCAGTCAGTGACTTCCTCCCTAATGTTACCAGATTCTTGAATTTAAAACAGTGTGACAATTGAAACAGCCTGGGAACAATTACTGAATTCATGGAGGTTTACCAACATACTGTTGATACCACTCACTCGCTAGGGAATATGTAAAGTAGAATTTTGCTACATGGAAAGCAATTCTCTCCACCAAAGTGGTTTGGACCTCTGGAAAGGTTTACAGATTTCTGCAAAGAAAAGGAGATGGAGAGATTGTATCCTAGTTAAAGAATATGGTAACTTTGTTTCCGATGATTAATGGCTTTAAAACCTTGTGTTTTGGGGATATTAAATTTGAAATCAGTTGATCTTTACTCAAAAACATAAAATCCCCAATAAGTAAATGCCAATTTTACACTTTTAACAATCCTGGACAAGGGATAGAACATAGAGCTTTATTAACAATCCATCTAATAGGTGTAATAGAAAAAAAATCAGTTTTCAAAATCATATGATAATAGAGGTTTTGAAATGCATTTACCATCTATTTCATACTCTCACTTTTTAGTGTTAAAAACAAAATTATTTATACACTTGTTAAAATGGTAAGGAAGAGTTTATTCAGAGCTGTTGCTATAGATGTAAAAACTTTTGCAGTAGGGGAGAGTGATCTGGTTCAAATCTGAATGCAGAAAGACAGCTGTGGCTAATAGCCAAGGAGCAGAGACGGGAAAAGTTGAGGAGGGTTTCAGTGGATAGCAAACTACAAAGAGAAGATATCAAGAATGGGAGATTCTTGCTAAATTAACTGATTTAGTAGAATTCTTTCTAAAACTGGGCTATGCAGTTTAAAGATTAGATGGGGGCTAATGTGAATGTTTAAACCAAAATAAGACTTAGAGGAGCCTGACTATAGTTCAGTCAAGGAGAGAGTCTTTCTCAATAGGAAGAGAGAAAGAAAGAACAGAAAACATATGCAACTTGCAGATCAAGAAAATACTTCATTGCAGATAACTTTAATTTAAAATCCCTTGCAAGCTTTTATTTATTGAGGAATTTACCCTAAGTAACCTCCAGAGTTGATTTAGTCAATCTTGACCCTGTTTCTCAGACCTGTTTCGGTGATATTTGATGTACTGGACATTGTTAGAATAAATTCAGGCCTTGCATCCTGAATCTCTAGTCTTCTATTCTAGATCACTCCCAAAGTCACTGATTAGCAAAATGACCTCTGATGCTTTCATTCATGGATTCCAGGTACTTATAATCTAGTAGAGCCTGTGGCCAACCATGTAAGTGTCTGAAGTTCCACTTTGTACCACTTTGCAGCTGAAGAATTCTTTGGCTGCAGTTTCTTTTCTTATCCACCTGGTTCTCCCAGGGTGTCACAGCTCTTAAAGTTTTTACTATCCATGAAGTTCAGCCATAATTATAGCAGTGTTCTTTGAGTCTCCATATAAAGAAATACATTTTGCTCAAAACACATTTGGTCCTATGGTCACTGATAAACTTAATTTCATTTTCACTGATTATTGTTATATTATTGATATTGTTCAATGAATTAGTACCTCATCAACACTGATGACCTTCCCACTCTTATAAGTGCTTCTTCAATTCTTCTTTAGCGTTGTAGTGATACTTTGAATTAACAGGTACTACTTTATTTTCAAGAGGTTTTCATATTGCCTCCTTTGTTTCCTCAGTTTTATTTCTATTCAATCATTAGACATTGAAAGAACAAGAATGAGTAATTCAGTATATGCCAGAGAGATAGCTACACTTTATAGATTTTGTAGTTCCTTACATGTACTGTTAACAATGCTTATTTCAAGTTGCCTGAGTTTATTGACAATGCTGGGCTGTTGTGCCACCTCCATGACCCAAGACTCCCTTCTGAGAAACAAAATTGTAGTTGCAGAGCTAGTGTGCCACAGGACAAGATATGTAGAAATGGTACATTTTCAAACAAGAAAAAGTGATAGCACCTCCATCATACATTTTTCTGTGTGCTAGCCCCCAACCCCCTGCCACACCAGAAATGAGTAATGATGAGAATAGAATCTGTAAATATCAGGTATTTGTCACTGGCAACATACGTCAATTTTAAATGGCAGACAAGAGTCCCAGTTGATTGAAAAAAAAATATGTGATGTAATTTATTATGCCATTACTGGTAAAAATCAAGTGTTTTTGCTAGTACTCCAAAGATCTGGCAGCACAACTGGTACTTTTATGGAATGGGAGGCAAAGCACATCAAGCAGACATTTGGGACTCTAAGAAGCAGATGGTGTTGTTTATTCAAAACAAATGACAAATAATGTATTAATTTATGGACACTACAAAAATTAAATATCATTTTAAAGAATGCTAGAGTAGGTCAGGACTCGAAGAAACCGGTGTATTGCACTGAAGGGCAGCAGAGAGTAGTAAGAAACTGGTGCCTAGAAACACTTTTAGGAGAGAAACACCATAAGGTAATAAATGAGTATACCTTGTCATGCTCATCAATTGCAAACAAAGGAGAATCATGTACTATGTATTTCGCTTTCTTTTTAACCACACTCCTTATCATATATGAGAATCTCAAAAGCAGTTTACAGTGTAAACTTCTGTTTTTTTTTTAAATGAATTCTTATGTTCTCTTTAAAAACATAAGCTTCTGGTTTTAGTTTAGCGTTATATTTACATTAGGTAAGAAAGCAGGGAGATAGGAAAACTGTTTATTTAAAAACAAAACAAATCCTCTCTTGTCTATATTTGCACCTTTGTGATACAAAAAAGTGAGTTATTTAAGTAAAATAGAAAAAAATTTTAACTTATGTTTAGCTCAGTCCCTGGTACATAGAAAGCACAAAATAAATGCTTATTTTTCTGTACTGAATGATTGGATATAGGGATGTGAAAATAATTGAATGCCTAACCATTACTATTTTGATTTTTTACAGATTTCCTCCAAAACACTCTGCTAAGGCTCTACCCAAGAATGAATTTACCTAACTAATCTAAAATGTTTTCAAATTATCACAAATAAAAGATTATTTTGTGATAGAGCAGAACTTATTTTGCTCTCTTTCTGTACAAAAAAATATATATCAAATCGAATTTCTAGAATAGCAAATGGCAAATTTTATGCATAAAAGAATAATATTTTATTACTTAATTCAAACTAAATGTTTAAGTAAGACAAAATATATGAGAAAAATATTACAGTTTTAACCTGCAATTGATTTAAATAGTTTTAATAAGAAAATTTTAAACATGAAACTGAGTTTGTGGGGAGTAATAATTGAATAGAAATTCTTTCATTCACTTTTGTCTAGTTTTTTTATACTCCCCCCGCCACTGTATGGTTTCTTTTCATCTATATCATTTCAGTTAAAAAGGTTTAAGGCAAAAATGCATGCAATATGGAATTTTTGCCTGCAGTTTTTACATCAAAGAGACAGTGTGTGTAGGAGGTTCAGATATGGATAGTCGAATGCTGACTATACATCGAAAGGAGTCAGAAAACATTAAGTAGTTTCTCAGGGTTGACAAACAGAATAGTTCTCTCATTTTGATTTGTAAGCTTTTTTGAACAAATACAATAGCAAATACTTTGTTTTTAAAATAAAGTTACAATAAAATAAAGTTAAAATAAAGTTACATAAAAATAAAAGTTACAAAGTAGTAACTTTTTTTTTTTTTTTGAGATGGAATCTCTCTCTGTTGCCCAGGCTGGAGTACAGTGGCACAATCTCAGCATATGAACAATTAGTTCTTTAGTTTTAATGATGCAGGATTTTTGCTCCTTAGCTCAGCTAGGTCCAGGTTCTTGTCTCACGACCAGGAAAAATTAGGCACGCAGACATCAAAAAGTTAGTGGAGTAGAATTTATCAAGGGAAAAGAAAGCTCTCAGCAAAAAGAGGGGAGGCTGGGGGTAGTTCTCCCACTCAAAGACAGGAGAGAACCCTAATATGGTTGAGCCCAGGACCTTTTATGGGCTCAGAATAGGGGGTATGTACTGATCAGTTTGTGAGCATGCAAAAAGGTCAAAGCGAAGACATCACTCAAACATGGGCACAACAGTGTAGAAAGCCAATTAGGAAAGGGTAAGTATATGTAAAATAGGAGAAGGATGGGGATCAATCAGAGGAAAGCATCCCAAACGGGAAGGTAGGTTCTCAATCCAGTCCAAGGACTGTTTCCAGCTTGAAGGCCAGGTTTCACTGGGGACCTGCTCCTATCTTCCTAGGCAGTTGTCTGCCTTCTGCTTCTATCACTAACGATTTGCAATACTCAACTAACATGAGAATGATCCTGAAGAAAACATTTCATCTGAAAGCAAAGAGAAATTATTGGCAATGAACCTTTGGTAGTTCTGTCCCTTCCTATCCTGTTTTTAAATATACTTAAGCATTGAGATTTAGAGACTGACAAATAAAATCAGAGTGATTTATCACTCATTTAAAAGAGAATATGATCATACATATATATCTATATATAAAATACATATTTTACATATATAATATTAAGAAAGTATGAGTGTTGCTGTAAAACACTGTGTAATAAGTTTAGAAATCAATCTAAACTCTGAATTAGCATAAGCCATGTGATATCAGCTGCAAAACAAAAACTGGTATAAGCAGACAAAATACTTTATCATTTACAAGGTAATGTGTGTATCTGAAGCAACATGTACCCTAATGACCAATTTGAATGTTTTTGCCTATATTCTTAGCATTTCAAGAAGTATATATATATTTTACATATATTATATAATATATGTTACATATATATGTATTATATATAATATACATATATGTATTATATACATTATATACATATATGTTACGTATATGTATTATATATATTATATACATATATTGCATGTATATATATTACATTATGTAATATATATTATACTATATTACTAATATATTTTACATACATATTATGTAATATATATTATACTATAGTATATATACATATATGTAATATATATTATACTATATTGCTAATATATTTTACATATATATTTAAATTGTATATATTTATATTATATAAAAGATACATAATAAATATGTTTGCATAATATATATAATATATGTAATTAATATATTTACATTATATGTAACATATATGTAGAATATATATATAGTTCTATTGGCCAACTGAACTGGCAAGCCAAGCGATATGCATTTAAATTTTTGATTTACTCAAATATATAATAGTAATGTTATTTCTTGGGGGTCATATTAAATGAAAAAGAAAATCCATGCTTGCCTTCATTGTCCAACAAAATTGGTGTTTGCAGGCACAAATCCCCTCTAAGCCTTTCTTTAGGTACATGGTTTTCCAAATTCTGAATCTCTAGAAAAATTGGTTGAGAAATTGGAAAAATGGAGAAAAGTATCATAAACTTCCTGTTAGAGATAAAGCATAAAAATTAACACAGAAATGTTAACTAGTACTAAGTACTAAGAAATCCTGTAACATCAAGTCAAAAATAAAAGAAGGCAACACTGACTTGGTGAATCCATGTTGAATTCCACATTTCTAGAAATACAGGAACACACGGGAGTGACACATGAGCAATCTAAGTCATTTTTCAGGTAGCTGTTGTCCTGCGATAAATGTGCATCTGTTGCTTTGCTGCTAACAGCAAGTGATTTTTGCAAATAAAATAAATACATGTGCATGATATACTTCATAAAAATCCTGTGAGTGGAGTTCCAAGAAATAACAAGTTTTAGAAGCAAAGTAGCAATTTTGACACATGATTCTGTGTAGTGCTGTTAACCATGCTAGGAAATCTGAATTCTCAGTTATTTTAATATTACTCAATAATATTTACTGGTGTTTTTCAGTATTTAAATAATTTTAATAGGCCAGAGTTATATGTACATATTTTAACAGAAGCAATGCAAAAAGAAGGTATGAGTGCTGCTGTAAAATACTGCGTAATAAGATTAGAAATCAATCTAAAATCTGAATTAACATAAGCCATGTGATGTCAACTGCAAAACAAAAATTGTTATAAGCAGACAAAATATTTTATTATTTACAAGGAAATGTGTGTATCTGAAGCACATGTACCTTAATGACCAATTTGAAGATGTTTTTGCCTACATTCTTAGCATTTCAACCAATGTAAATGAAAAATAAAATAAAATTTTGTCTGAAATACTTGCATGAAACAAAGATCAAGACTATCAAACAGAGCAATAGAGTAATATATATGCTTTGTGTATCTTAATAATTTATTTTAAAAATAGATTTAAAATATTGAATAATTTTGTTTTGATATTTCAAATTTTGAATTATTTTTTACTTGTAATTTATTTTGTGTTATAAAAATATTGAAAGGGAACATTATCATGTCAATATCAGAAAGTCATTTTTACATGTATTGAAGTATATAATTTTATCATAATATACTAGCTCATGATAATAAATTATGCATTTACTATTATATTTTTTAATGAAAAATACATTTGGAACTTTAAGCATAATTTATTTAGAAAAAATGATTCACTGCTATTAGGATCACTTATTATTCAAAATTACGTAAATAAACTCTTATTAAAAATGCATAGTAACCCCTGCTTTTGAGAATTTCAAAGAATTCTTGGGAATTCTGATATTCCGTTTCTAAATCTCAAAGATCGATTGGGAATCTGGAAACATTGACTATAATAATTATTTCTCTTCCCAAACAAGCATTAATTCTTAGTGCTTTATTATCTTACATAACAAGTACAAGGATAACTAAAATTTACAATAATTTTCAAATGCAGGCTCCTGCATTTTTATCAAAAAGTATGCTGTGGCCATTATAAATATAATTTGTCCTAATTCAGAGTTATAATAAAGACAGAAAAAATGTATTAACCATTTACTAAGTGCTAAGCACTGTGCTAAACATTTTCCCTATGTTCTTCCAATAATCCACACAATACTACAAAGTTATAGGTGTTACTGATCCTCATTTTATAGAGAAGAAAATTTTTATTCTGAGTGATATGCCCACAACTCAACTAATAAGAAGACATTTGATCCAAAATTCTCTAATCCTTGAATGTACTTTCCAAAAGCCTTACAAAAATAACTATAATGTAGGTGTTGTATTCTTGGAAATTTTAAGCTTGTAGATTATAAAAATATTCCTTATTTTTTATTCACAGCTTGAGGCCTTCTTCTCATCATTGCCTATACTACCACAGATTTTTTTATTACACTTTTATTCCTGCTGTCAGCTTTAGCTTTTCTGTACAATTAGTGATTCTCTAAATTACTACCAGAACTTTCCAAATATAATATACTTTGATGTCTCTAAAAGAGCAAGACAGGAAATGCATTCTTTAAGCTCACAGATGGAATATGAGAAAAATATGACCTCACCTAACAAGAGATAGAAGTTTTTATTGCACATTTTGCACATTCTAAATTCAAAAACTTTCTTAAAAATGATGAAAAGTCAGTTCACAGGAAGCTATCAATTCTAAAATCTTATTTGTAAATATAAATAAGAGGCAATATGACATATGGTGAAACTCAGTAAAGAGAGTTGAGAATCTACAAGTATATTGAACAAAATAAATGAGACTATGAGGACAAACTCTTAAAGTTCTTGTTTGAATGTTTTGAAATATCTATGAATTTACTGTATCTGGTATACAGCACTGTCTAATTACCAAGACAGGACCCTTGGGCCACTTGGTCTTGTGTCACATTCTGGTAATCTATTATAGCATAAAGTAGGCAGGGTATCAGGTGTCAAATTTCTTTTGATAACTTACTTCAGAGATGGTTATGAGTCTGTGCATGAAGAAAAAAGAGGAGGCAGATTGACAATGTGCTTAAAGCATATTTCTCAATGAGAAACATTTCAGGAATTACTGCTGGCCTAGAAAAATATGACTGTAACTTACTTAGAAACTGAAGCCATCTGAATAATCTGGAGAGTATCTAGACACAGGACAGTGCATGTAAATTATAGCTCAGTGACTGGAGCATTTAGCTGGAGAAGGTAATGAAAGAGAAAAAGTAGAAAAGAAAGAAAAAATGAATGACATTCATTTGATTTTATTACAAATTAAAATCACCTGTGTAAAAATCAACCAAGTCAAATATAAAACATTGCTGACTCCACAGAATCTCATTTATTCCTGCCTTCCCATATGCACAAAAATAACTACTATACTCACTTGTATAGTAACCACTTTGTTATTTTTCTTTATAATTTTACAATGTAAGCATGTACTGCTTAATAAAATAGTTTAGTTTTAGTTTGGGCTGTCACTTGAAATTTATATAAATAAATTCAATCATGCATATATGTTTTATGACTAGATTATTTTGCATAAATTCATGTTGTTAATATTTAAATATGCTGCTGCATTAACTATTATTCTGTTATTTTAATTTTTTTTGTAACTCTCCATTGTAGAAATATACAACTTGTCTATCCCCTCTATTGATGATGGGTATTTGGGTCATTTCTACTTTTGGAATATTAGAAATAATGGTGTTTTCAACATTTTTGTACATGGATCTTGGTACACATACTTTAGAAATTGTATATTATCTATATACTAGAAATCTCACTATTGGGATTTCTAGTATATAGATAACATACAATTTTACTTTCAGTCCATAATATGAGACAGTTTTCCAAAAATTTTACCTGTTTGCAATCCTGCTTTATCCTCAAACAGCAAATTTTGAAGTTTTAGTTATTGTGGTACATGTTTTAATATCTTATTGTGGTTTAAGTTAGCTTTTTCCCTTATTATTTATAGCATAAAGCACATTTTCTTTGATTACTTAGAGTATAAACACTAATCTTAATTGCCAACTAACTGGGCCATGATATTTAGATACTTGGTGAAATGATTTTTTAAGATGTTTCTGTGAAGATATTTTTCAGATGAGATTAACATTTAAAACAGTAGTCTTTGAGTAAATCAGATTACTCTCCATAATGTAGGGGAGCTTCATACAATCAGTGGAAGGTGTTAATAAAAAAAAAATATTAACCTGCCCCAGACAAAAGATGGAATTCTGCTAGAAACTGCCTTTGGACTTGAATTGCGACATCAACTCATCAACTATTCCCTGAGTGTACAGCCTGCTGGCCTACTCTGCAGATTTTGAACTTGCCAGCTCCCACAATTATGTGAGCCAATCCTTAAAATCTCTTTGAAAAAAAGAGAAAGAGAATCATATATATGTATGGCTTTATTTCTCTGGAGAGATTCTGAACAACACAGATGGTTTCTTTTGTAAACACCTATGCTAGGTACTTATTTTTTTGACTACTGGCTTGTCTTTCTTCTTGGTAATTGTCCCGCAAACATTCCTAAACCCTCTATTCCATTATTTGTGTTGCAGATATCTTGTTCCACCCTCTGACATCATTTTCACTATCTTAATGATACTTTCTAATGAATTGCTTTTCTTAATTTATGGTAAGACATTACACCAACCATTTTCTTTACGATTAGTTTATAATATGTATTGTTTAAGCAGTCTTACTTACTCCAAGATTATTTAAATATTATATTATCTTCTAGAAACTTTAATTTTTGATTTTTACATTTAGATCTACAATATATCTTAAATTAATTTTAGTGTGTAGTTTGATATAATAAGGCCAGGTTTTTCTTGTTCTTTATAATTATACAATTATATTCAACCACCTTAACACTATTTATTGAAAATACTGCTCTTTTTTCACTTCCATGAAATGTCACCTCTGTCATAAATATCCATATGTGTTATTGGTTCCATCAGTCCATTTGTCAATACTTGCACCAAGACTACACTTTCTTGATTTCTGTGGATTTCGATCATGATATCTAGTAGTAATATTCACCCCACCATGTAATTCTTTTTAAGAGTATCTTAAATATTTTTAGCCCTCTACATTTCCATATAACTTTTAGATGTAGTTGACAGGATTCCATTAAAATCAACCAAAGAATTCTGATAAAGAATACACTGAATGTCTTAATTATTTTATGAATAACATAATTCTTTTCAGTAGTTAGTCTTCTATTCCATAGACATGGTATATTCCCCCGTTTATTTATGTCTTTCTTAATTTTTTCAATGACCATTAAAACTTTACTCTATGGTGGCTGGGCACAGTGACTCATGCCTTTAATCCCAGCACTTTGGGAGGCTGAGGAGGATGGATCACGAGGTCAGGAGATCGAGACCATCCTGGCTAACAGGGTGAAAGCCTGTCTCTACTAAAAATACAAAAATTAGCCGGGTGCGGTGGTGGGCGCCTGCAGTCCCAGGTACGTGGGAGGCCGAGGCAGGAGAATGGCGTGAACATGGGAGGCGGAGCTTGCAGTGAGCCGAGATCGCACCACTGCACTCCAGCCTGGGGTGCAAGACTCCGTTTCAAAAACAAAACAAAACAAAACAAAACAACAACAACAAAAAAACTTTACTCTTTGGTGGTCTTCTACAGCTCATTAGTTTATCCCAATTGTTTGAAATTTCGATGCCATTGTAATGATTTATTTTAGAGTTTCATTTTCTTATTGTTTGCTGGGGGTATGTACACATAAATGATTGTTGTATATTGGCCTTATAGCAAAGATGAATATTAACTAGATTATTGATTCTAAAACATTAACTTTGGGTTTTTTTAAATGTATAAAACCATACCATCTTCAGGCCAGGCATGGTGGTTCATACCTGTAATCCCAGCACTTTGGGACGCCAAGGTGGAAGGATCTCTTGAGCCCAGGAGTTCAAGACCAGCCTAGGCAACATAGAAAAATCTCATCTCTACAAAGAGTTAAAAATTAGCTGGGTGTGGTGGCATGAGCCTACAGTTCCAACCACTTGGGAGGCTGAGATAAAATCATCACTTGAGCCTAGGAGGTTGAGGTTGCAGTGAGCCATGATCACACCACTGTATTCCAGCCTGGGCTACAGAGTAAGACCTTTTTACAAAAACAAACCAAAACAAAAAGATGTCATCTTTAAATAATGCTTTTTCTTTGTTTTTAAGAATTTGGCTAGGTGCGGTGGCTCACGCCTGTAATCCCAGCACATTGGGAGGCCAAGGCGGGTAGATCACCTGAGGTCAGGAGTTCGAGACCAGCCTGGCCAACATGGTGAAACCCCGTCTCTACTAAAGATACAAAAATTAGCCAGGCGTGGCGGCAGGCGCCTGTAATCCCAGCTACTGGGGAGGCTGAGGCAGGAGAATCGCTTGAACCCGGCAAGCAGAGGTTGTAGTGAGCTGAGATTGCACCATTGCACTCCAGCCTGGGGAACAAGAGCGAGACTTCATCTCAAAAAAAAAGAAAAAAAAGAATTATATATATTTTTTCTCTATATTAAATGACTGGCCTGGCTATACTTTCTAAGTAAAATGATAAATAAAACTAGTTATATCAGGTGTCTTTGTCTTATTCTTGGCCTTAGTGGAAAAGCTTTTAATATTTCATTAAAAAGCAAATTATTTCACAAAACATTATTTGTACATATTTTAAAGAAAATTAATACTTTCCCTGGATTCCTCTTTTGCTGTGTTTTTATTATGAATGGATGTGAATTTTATTATAACATTTCTCTGCATCTGTGAGATTAAAGTGATGAACTTTTAATATGATAAATTATATTGAGATATATATATATTTTCTTTTTTTGAAATTTTATTAAGAAATATTGGCTGGATGTGGTGGCACATGCCTGTAATTTCAGCAGTTCAGGAGGCCAAGGTGGATGGATTGCTTGAGCCTAGGAGTTTGAGACAAGCCTGAACAACATGACAAAAACCTGTTTCTACAAAAAATACAAAGAAATTTGCCAGGCATGGTGGCTCATGCTACTTTGGAGGCTGAGGTAGGAGGATCACCTGAGCGAGGGGAGGTAGAGGCTGATTGTTTCACTGCACTCCAGCCTGGGTGACAGAGTGAGATCCTGTCTCAGAAAAAAAGATAAGGAATTTTTTTAATTAAAAAAATTAATATTTTTAAACATACAGACTATGAATATTTTTAACGCACCACCTACATTCAACAGTTAATATTTTACAAAATATTTAGTCATGTAACTATTCATCTTGTCACCACTGTAGCCACTCATCAATCTACCTTGTCATTCATTTTAAAATAAGTTAAAGACATCACTACATTTCTCCCCAAGTATTTCAGCATGCTTATGATTAAATTTAGCTCAATAATTTTTTAGTGATTCATTTTATTTTCACTTAAGGACAATGCTATGTGTGATGAAATGCACAAATCCATTGGAATGAAATGATCATTTTATTGTATGGTAGTACCAAAATGTATTTGTATTAGTTTTCTATTATTTTGTTAGAAAATCTCACAAACGTAGAAGTTTAAAAAACAAAAAAAGATCTATTATATCAAATTTTCTGGAGGTTAGAAGTCCAGGTAGGTATTGGCCAGTTTCTCTCCTCAGGGTTTCAAAAAGCTGAAATCAATGTTCCAGTCAAAGCTTAGTATCATCCTCTTCAGATCAGATTAAGGTGCTCTTCCAAGCTCAGAGTTTTGTATTTGTTTAAATGCACAGTAATTAAAAGTTTTTTTTTTAATCAGCAAAAGCAGTTAAAGTAAACAAAAATATTTTAGCCTAAAATATATTTATTTCACATATTCTGAAGTGGCCCTGCCATGTTGTTTTTCATGGGGGAAATTTGCATCTGTAGATCTGTTGATTCATTAATGCAGTCAATGCTTCCCTTGTCCAGATCTAGGAAAGATTAAATGAGAATCTAACACCTTTATAGGTCTGAAAAGAAATATTTACCACCTATTTTCTCTGAAACCTGCTACCTGTGAGGTTTCATCTACATAACAAGATTGCTTTTGCTAGTCAAGCCTCTTCCTTTCTCCTTCCAATAACCTGTCTTGGCACTAAAACCTGTTTTTGGCCATGCTGTATGCCCATATTCTTTCTGTAACCTCAAGATGGTATATAAGCCTCTGTACCCTATTAGAGGGTTGGGTCTTCATTCTGAAGACTCCCATATAGTAGACTCATTATTACACATAAACATGTATGTGTTTTCTCTGATTAATCAACCTGCCTCATGTCAGTGATTTTCAGTGAACATTTAGGAGGCCACAGTATATAAACTGCAGAAAAATTTTACTACGACTGAAAAAAATGTATCATTCAATTAGTTATAATCTGTCAATCGAGAAAAATGATGAGACTGAAACCAGCCTCATTGTCTGAGGTGCCACCCGAAGTTGTTGATGTCACGGCCAACGAAATCAAGGACTCGGATACTCCAAAGGTGAGGTTAGAGCAGTAGTTAAATAAGTGAAAGAAGGAAAGCTCTCTAGAGCAGAGAGGGTTCCCAGAAAGATGGGTTGCCGTATTACAGTGAAATGCGAGGGTTTTTATAGAAAAGCTGGAGGGGAGCCATGCTTCATTTGGTTGAGGCGCAAATTTCTGAGTTCCCGCCCCACCCTTTCTAGTGCACATGCGGGCTTCTTAGTTTGAGTTACTCCATGTTGTTTATCGCTTCCTGCTGCACATGTGTAAAAAGGCGGAGAACAGAACCCTCTAAGGTGGACGTGCCTGGTTCAGAGTAGCTCTTATCAGTGCTGCGTCAGGCGCTCCCCCTGCACAAGCCTGCCTGTCTGAGTATTTCCAAGAAGGGAGGACTGTGTTACCTGGGACCCACTGTATCTTTGTATGTCACACAGGAGGCCCCTTTCTGTGTTAGAGCTTGCCTTCATTATCTGCGTTTGCCGCCTTATCGCTTAGGCTGCTCTTTCATGAAGGAGAAATGACCTCTTGGGCTGCTCTTTGTTAGAAGACACTCTGCTTTTTGTTAGAAGGGAATTCCACCGGGGACCCTTGCCCTAACTATCTAGTTGATTTCTCTCTCTCTCCTCTCACAAGACAACTATCAATCATTTTACAGTTTCTTTGTCAAAGTTAAGGACACGTGCCCAGGAGACAAGTCTATGCCTTTCCCTGAAGACAATTTTGAGGGATCCAAATTTAAAGGGGAAAGGGCGGGATATTAAGAAAGAAACAATTTTCACTTAAGGTGGTGGGGGCGGGGAGTAGAAAAAATAGTAATTCATGCCTTTGTCTGGCTCAGTTAATCTGCATTTTTTTTTTTTTTTTACGTAAGATGACATAGATAAATGGGGCAGAGGAAAAATGCACGGAATCTGCATTTTTACATACGATAACATACACAAAATGTTGCAGGGGAATAATCAGATACATATTTGTGTCAGGTGGAGGCGGGGGTGAATTCAACTGTAAAGATAAGCTATTAATTTACATTGCCATGGTGAAATTTCAACAGAAACACCTTAAAGATCTGGGAGCTCACTGAGAATTTCCTTGTGAGCAAAAATATGGGGGAGGCACGTAGCTTTTCATCTTGCAGCCGTCTTATTTAGGAACCAAAAGAGGTAGGCAGGTTTGTGTGACCCAGTTTCCAGCTTAACTTTTCCTTCTGGTTTAATGAGTTTGGGGTCCCAAGATTTATTTTCTTTTCATAAATCCATGCATGAATATTTAAAAATACAGACATTTCCATTGTACCAGTAAGTTTTCTTGTTCCTTCGTAGTGAAGTTCCAACCTTGTCCACATAGAAACTTTTTTTTTCATTTTACTCCTTGACCACTGTAAACATGTTTATTTTAAAGTTGCATTTTGTGACTGAAACCAGCCACATAGCGTTGACAAGAATTGCCTGCTAGGTTCTGTTCAGAAATAAAGTTCTAATTAAGCTTTAGTTCGGCTACATTTTGACTCACTTTCTTGTTGCTAGAAGTCTCACCATTTGCATTCCCATTGTTCCTATAGACAGGATCTCTGACATTAGAATCACAAGGCTTTTTTTTTTTTAAGGATCACTTAATATGTTTTTTCAGATCCTGGATTCCAGCAACTAGTTTAAAGACCTCCACAGAGGAATGACATCAGCATGAAAATGCAACTTTATCTCCCTGTACCATCACTTCACTCTGCACTCATTGACCAATCAATAATCTCCACACTTTGGACTACTCCAAAATTCTTAAGAATCTTAACTTCAAATTCCTGGAGAAGATAGGTTTGATGTTTTCTCCCATCTCCTTTTTCAGTGACTTTATGATCAAACCTCTTTATCTGCTGCAGCCTAGTGTCTCAGCATATTGAGTTCAGAACTTACTATAGTTACAGAACATACATAGACCCCATAGGAATTTGCGTAATCGATATACTTCTGGGTTTTGTTCATTTTGCTTCTCTTCTCAAATGCCTATTTTACATTGTGTTTTAACAATTTTATTTTGAAAATTGTTTGTAAACTATTTTGAGGTTCAGAATTGTCATATGTTACCAATGAGTGTTTAAATTCTCTTCTGCACTTGGTATTACTATGGTATTACTAGCATTCTGCACTTGGTATCACTAGCCCTCCAGGAATTTTTTTGTTTGTTTGTTTGTTTTTGTTTTTGTTTTGTTTTTGTTTGTTTGAGACAGAGACTTGCTCTGTTGCCTAGGCTGGAGTGCAGTGGCATGATCTCAGCTAACTACAACCTCTGCCTCCCAAGGTCAAGGGATACTCATGCCTCAGCCTCTCAAGTAGCTGAGATTACAAACGTGCACCACTATGCCCAGCGAATATTCGTATTTTTAGTAGAGATGGGGTTTCACCATGTTGACCAGGCTCGAACTCCTGACCTCGAGTGATCTACCCGCCTCCGCCTTCCAAAGTGATGGGATTACAGGTGTGAGCCACTGGCCCTGGCCAAGGAATATTTAATACCAAATCAATGTTCCAGGTGATCAAAAGCTCAGTTTAGTTTCTCATTTTGTTCAAATTTTTGTGAAGATTCACAAACTAGATCATGGTGTTACTGACCATGGGTTCTTGGGTTCTCAATGCAATATAAATTGACATGAGGCCAAAAGAGTTTTCCCAGATAAAGCTTTATTGGAGCTTGTATTAGTCAGGGTTTTCCAGAGGGATGAAGCTAATAAGATATATACATATTGTAAATTATATATTATATAAATATTTGTACATTCTTATATTATATATATTAATATACATAAATATATATTTATATATACATATATACACGTATGTATGTATATATGTATGTATACATATATACATGTGTGTATGTATATATGTATACATATATACATGTATATGTATACATATATACAGTTATATATAAATATACATATATATGTATAACAATATATATAAATATACGTATATCAATATATAAATGTATGTATATCTATATATAAATCTATGTATATCTATATATAAATACATATGTATATCTATATATAAATATATATGTATATCAATATATATAAATATATATGTATATCAATACATAAATATATATGTATATCTATATATGTATATGAATATATATAAAAATATATATGTATATAAATATATATACATATATAAATACACAAAAATATACATATATGCATATTTTTATACATAATATATAAAAATATATGTATATATTATATGATATATTATAAATATAATATATTATATTATATAAATATATTATAAATATATATTAAATATTATATTAATATATTATAAATAAAATATATATTATATAATATATTATGAATATAATATATTCCATATATTATATAATATATTATAAATATAATATATTCCATATATTATGTAACCTATTGTAAATATAATATATTCTATATATTATAGAATATATTATAAATATAATATATTCGATATATTATAGAATATATTATGAATATAATACATATGTTATATAATATATTATATATAATATATTATATACGTTATGTAACATATTATAAGTATAATATATTATATATGTTATATAATATATTATAAGTATAATATATTATATATTATATAAATATAAATATATATAAATATATAATAAATGTAATATATTATATATAAATATAATATATTATGTTTACATATATAATATATTATATATAAATAATATATTTATTTATATATATATATAAATAATATATTATTTATATATAATATATTATATATAAATATAATATATTATTATCATATATTATATATCATAATATATATAATATATGATAATAATATATTATATAAATTATATATAAAAATATAATATTGTATATATAATATATTATATATAAAAATATAATACATTCAAATAGAATATATTATATTATATAATATGTTTTATATTATATTTTATATATAATATGTTTTATATTATATTTTATATATAATATATTTTATATTTTATATAGTATATATTTTA
Source organism: Homo sapiens (assembly GCF_000001405.40). Classification (NCBI taxonomy): domain Eukaryota; kingdom Metazoa; phylum Chordata; class Mammalia; order Primates; family Hominidae; genus Homo; species Homo sapiens. The sequence goes on from NC_000024.10 coordinate 4,034,592, forward strand.
TTTTGTAATATATATTATATATTTTATTTTATACATAATATATATTATGTATTTTATTTTATATATAATATATATTATGTATCATATTTTATATTTATATACATTTATATATTATATACAAAATATATATTATTTTTTATACATATAGCGTGTATATATATTATATACAAAGTATATAAAAATATATATTATATATATTTTGTATATAATTTATATATAAATATATATTATATTATATATAAATACTATATAGAATATTATATAAATATATAAAATTATATAAATGTTATATATTTATATAAAATATATAAAATTGTAGGACTTTGCCTTATGAGGGTGTGAGCCAAGTCTCCCTAATTATATATTTATGAAAGGAAGTTTATTAGGGAGACTTGGCTCACACCCTCACAAGGCAAAGTTCTACAATAGGCTGTCTGCAAGCTAGGGAAGAAGGCAGCCAGCAGTGGCTCAGTACAAGTCTGAAATCTTCAAAAGCAGGGAAGTTGACAGTGCAACCTTCGGTCTGTGGCCAAAGGCTTGAGAGCCACTGGCAAACCACTGTTGTAAGTCCAAGAGTCCAAAGGCCAAAGATATCGAAGACGTCTGATATCGAAGGGCAGGAGGAGTGGAAGGGATATCCAGCAATGGAGAAAGAGTCTCAGGAAGCAAGTTTATCCCATCTACCACCTGCTTTGTTTTTGCTGCCCTGGTAACAGATTGGATGGTGGCCACCCAAATTGTGGGTGGGTCTTCCTCCCTCAGTTCACTGACTCAAATGTCAATCTCCTCTGGCAACATTCTCATAGACACACCCAGAAATAATACTTTATCAGCCATCTAGCCATCCTTTAATGCAATCAAGTTGACACCTAATATTAACCATTACAGAGCTTATGCCCAGGCAAAAGTGAGGCAGCATAAGAGAGAGAGAGAATTATCTGGCTGACTCCTCAGAGGGATTTGGAAAGAAAGTTTTAAAGGGGCTACAGTGGGAAAGGAGTGATATTTAGGCATATAGATGTGGGGATCTTTTAACACCTGCAGTTTGTTAGCATGCTTCTTCATGTATCGCATGTCTTATTAGCATGTTAAATCTCTAAACTTGGGTGTGATTTTTTAATTAAGGTAAGGTTAAGGATTAGTTATTTTACTGGCCTTATGCACAAGCAGGAAATAGAGTTAACTTCTGTTGCAGGAATCGGGAGACTGGATAGACCAATGGGTGGAACAGGAGGATTTTATTAGGTGGCCACTGACTCAGCAGATTAACATCCAAAGGCTGAGCCCCAGATAAAGACAGGGCTTGACTTTTATACACACTTCTGAAAGGGGGTTGGCTAGTTTGAATGGTGCAGCAGGAATTTGATGGCACAAAACCTGTGTGGCAGGCAAGCGGGCTTACAGAAGCAAAACAAAGGCAGTTAATTAAGTTGTGACAGGTCTCGCAACCCAAGCACAGCTTGTGACCTTGCAGCTGCACTGCAGGGAAAACAGGAACTTACAAAACTTGTAAAACACTGGTGTTTTTAGAAATAGTTATGAGAAAGGAATTTGTTATTTTCTTTTCTTATCCTCGCTCCGGGGAGGGGGTCTTGTTCAGAGTGTCTCTGGACCTCATTCCTTTGGGCTCTGGCTTTACAGATAGTGTTATCTAGGCTCTGCCAGGGCCCTGCCTATTGCTGGCCTTGGAGTGAGTCAGCCAAGCACAGGAAAACTTGTTTTTTCCCTTTTTAACTTCTGCTTCACTTCCTTGAGTAAAATTTATGGTGAGAGCTGCACATTGTAGTTTCCTCAAGGCCTTGCAATCAGTGAGTATGGCACTTTAAGCAATATTGATGACGCAAATGTTCCTGGATCCATGAGGTCTGGCTGCTTGTTCTCATAGTCCAATAACGGGATGCAGACAGATTGGGAAAGAAGATTTATTTCTGCAACTGGTTACAGGGAGAAGGTCGGAGTAACTAACCAGACCAACTCACAGTTGCAATTTATTTTAGCTTATATATATAATTGAAGCTTTTTGCTTGCCTGCAGGAGTGTTTCTTAATCAATCTAATCTTAACTAGGGGTCTGCAAGTAGGAAAGTTTATTAGATTTCTTCCTGAATGGACGAGTTTAAGAAAATCCAGGTAGGATTTTAATGAGTTTGTTTTACATTCTACCCCTTGTACTTGCATTAGTTGCTCCAGTTCTTTAATGTTTAACTTATATATTCATCAGAATTACAGTAAAGTATTTGTAAAAACTGGCTGCTGTGTCTGCTAATGGAAATCTGGCGTGGCACACAAGGTCCGGGTGGTCTGGTTGGGATCCCTGCCTCCCAAAGGGCCCCCCTATCAGCTTTCAGTAGAAGTCCTTGGTGGGGCACAAGGGTGGCAAGTGCCAAGTTCCATAGCTAATCTCTCTCAATGGAAAGAATTAACAGAAATGTTTTACTGCCCCTTGCTCTGCTATGTATGTCTGTGTACATGAGTATGCATTGGAAAGCAATATGTTTCAGGAAAGTAGAGTGGAAATTACAAGGTACAGATTCTATTGCTGCATCTACCAGTGTGCTATGTGATCTTGAGCAATCATTTATTCCTTCTGACTTAGTAATAAGCCGTTAGCAAAATAGCCATGATAATTATCTTCAGTTCCTATCTGAATTATTATGACAATTAAATGTACTAACCGATATAAATATATTTGCTAATTTGTCACATTTGTTACATTATTAGTAAAATGTGTAGAGTATACACATTTTTATATTTTTTAAAGAAATAACTGGTTAAAGAAACAAAAAGTGATTAAATTGATAGCAATTTTTAGTATTTTATATTACTTTAATGTTTATTGACAAAGGCTACTTTTATATCAAAATAATATTTTTTAATATCAAGTATAAACTAGTTTTAAGTGCAGTGTGTCTATCCAAAAAGTCATTGCAATACACAGCATATCAAATTAAATTATTTTAAGCAATCTTCACTGAAAAATCTCTGTTTTCTCTCATCTCTCTGCCACCTTTAACTGCAAATTTGAAATACTCATTAATACAGCAAAGTGTTTAAGAGCAGGGACTCTCAAGTTTAAATCTTAGATCTGCAATTTACTAATCATGCAGCCTTTAGCAATTTTTATACCTTATATTTACTGCTAATTTTAAAAATGAGTATAATAATAGTATCAACCTCACTGGATTATTGTGAATATTAATTTATAAATTTTAAAGAAAGCATTTATAATTTTGCCTAGAACATATTGATAGCTCCATAAATGTTAACTATTTTACCATCACACTTTACCTTGCCTAAAATTCCTTTCTATGGTCAAGTAAAACCCTTCAAAAATATTAAATTCTATTTATCCTCAATTTCCAACATTTTGCTGTTCATAATGCTTCACTGAAATGCTAAGGAACTTTCAATAGACTAGTACAATCTTTTACACTCACAATACTTTCATCCTTTGTCATGCTCGAGAAAAAATATGTAACTCAACAGGAAAGTGGTCTAAAGATCCTAAGGTAAAGAATAAATAAAAAGCAAAGGCTGTGAGTAACTCTAGCATCTACCACTAAAAGAAGATGCTTTTAATATTTGGTCACAAGAAAAACTTGTCTTCTACAGTAATAAATTTGAATAAGAAAGCATGATGCTATATTTACTACTGATAACCATTTTTGACCATATGAGGAACCAACCTTGGGGAAGATGGAAAGTGAATTGTCTCTGGAGCTGGACTTTGTGGGTTTGATTACTATGCTGCTGTGTGACTTTGGCAGATTATATAGCTTCTCTGAACTTCAGTAGTTTTTGTTATACAATGTAAGGATAATAATGGTAGTTACATTGCAGTGAAAAAGAACAACATGTGTAAATAAATGTAATTTAGTAAAGTGCCCAACTCGTACTAAATACTAGTTACTATTAACATTATTATTAGAATAAAGCCAATTCTATAGAAAGTAGTGGAGAAACAGAAAGAACCTGAGCTCTAGATGACAATATCAAATCACTGACTCAATTAAATTGAAAACTACACACCGTCTGTACTCCTTGTCATGTGATATAGTAAATTACTTTATTCTTCAAGTTAATTGAAGTGAAGGGTTTTACAAATCACAGCTGACAGGTATGTGTGTGTATACAGATATATATCCCTTTTAAATTTAAATGAGAATGTTTAAAAATATGTTTCACATCTTTTTTATCTTTTTAACATAATAATGTATCTTTAATTTCTTTTTGATCATTACAGCTATATTTACCCCATTCTCTTTAACAGTCACATACCATTCCATTGTATGGTAATACCAAAATGTATATGTATTAGTTTTCTATTGTGTAAAAAAATCTCAGAAATTCAGCAGCTTAAAACAACACACATTTATTGTCTTAAATTTTCTGTAGATCAGAATTTCAGATACGGATTAGTCAATTCTTTCCCACAAGCCCTAAAAAAAAGCTAAAATCAAGGTACCAGTCAAGTCTGCGATCTCACCTGGAACTTGAGATTCTCTTCCAAGCTTGGAGTTTTGTGTTTTTTTGTTAAGATGGCAGTCATTCTGGTATTTTTAAAAAAGTAACAAAAGCAGTATATAAACTATAGAAAAATCTATATACAGTTGGAAACACTTTTTGAAGTAAGAAAAGTAAAACATTATATTCCCACAACCCAGAGATCACAAATAATAATACTTTAGTGGGTATCTGCTTATCTATTGACATATATATTTCCTTTTATACATATCTATGCATTTTTAATCAAAATGTAATCACACTGTTTATATTGCTTTGTAACATGCTACAATATTTCCCCCCTCATTAACACTCTCTGTCTTCCCAGAGCAATAAAATGTAATCTCCTCTGGTACCCATTCTTGCTTCAAATCCTTAGTCCACTCAAAAATGAACCTCCATATGTGTTTAGCTATTTGGAAGCTCTCCATACCTCATTCTTTTAGGCCTTTATGGGGACTTCATTGGAAAGGCATGATTAAAGCATAAACAACTGTGTAGAAATGTGATTGGACAAAAAGGGTATAATCTAATACTAACAGGCTGAGTGGGAAGAAGTCACAATATCTGTCTATTCTGATTCCTCTTGTCCTCTCTGTGCATCGTTTTTTCATCTAGGGTTTGGGACAAGACCTCTTCTGAAATGAGAGTCATATGACTTACAATTAGACAAGGTGGGCTGGAGAATTTCTTTATGCCCACCTCCAAGACAGAAAGGCAGAGGAAAATTTCTGCCTTGGGAAGAAAAAGTAGCAGATGAAAAAAGGGCAGGATAAGAACAAAAAGAAAGAGATTCTGTTTTCTGAGGCCTGCTTGTGAGGGCTAAAGCAATACAACAATTATAGCAGGGGCTATGGGAGGGGAGTTATGAGCTACAAACCATGGATTAAAACAAATATACATATGTAATAATATCACAGTCGCCTTTTATGTCTCATTTTTACCCCATAACATCATGTTTCAAGGTTTGTCTGAGTTGTAGATGTATCTGCACCTAACTCCTTTTAATGACTGAATGCATTTCATTATATGCCATATTTTGTTTATTCATTCATCTATGGAAATTTGTGTTTTCTCCATTTTTTGAATATTGTGAATAATGCTGCTATAAACATTAATGTATGAGTTTTGTTGTAGACATATGTTTGCAATTCTCTTAGATATATAACAAAAAGTAAAATTGCTGTGTCATACGGTAACCATATGCAAAACCTTTTGAGAAACTGAAACCCTGTATTTCCCTACACAGTGGCTTTCCCATTTTATCTTGCCATCAACAATTTATGAGTGCCCTCCTATACATCCTTGCCAGTGCTTGTCATTTATCTTTCTATTATTATTTTTGTTATTATTATTATTGCCATCTAGTGTGTGTGTAAAGTAGATTCTGATAATGGTTTTGATTTGCATTTTCCTGATGACTAACAATGTTGAGAATATTTCATGTGTTTATCTGACATTTTTATATCTTCTTGGAAAAGTGTCATTTAAATTATGTGTCTGCTTTTATTGTGTTATTTCTCTTTTTTATTTTTAAAAAGTATTCATATATTCTGGATACAGGTTCCTTGTCAGATCTATGATTTCCAAATATTTTCTCCCATTCTGTGATTAGTTTCTATTTTTGGGTTTTGGGTTTCTTTTACTTTATTGATAGTATCCTTAGAAACATAAAAGGCTTTATTGGCCGGGCGCAGTGGCTCACGTCTGTAATTCCAGCACTTTGGGAGGCTGAGGCAGGTGGATCACGAGGTCAGGAGATTGAGACCATCCTGGCTAACACAGTGAAACCCCGTCTCTACTAAAAATACAAAAAAAAAAAAAAATTAGCCGGGCGTGGTGGCGGGCGCCTGTAGTCCCAGCTACTCTGGAGGCTGAGGCAGGAGAATGGCGTGAATCCCGGAGGCAGAGCTTGCAGTGAGCCAGCATCGCGCCACTGCACTCCATCGTGGGCGACAAAGCGAGACTCCGTCTCAAAAAAAAAAAAAAAAAAAAAACAAAAACACTTTATTTTAATGAAGTTCAAGTTATCTATTTATTGTTTTATTATTTGTATGTTTAGTATCGTATCTAAGAAAATTTTGCCAAACGAAAGATCATAAAGGGTTACATACATGTTTCATAGTTTCATTTCTTACATTTCTTGCTTTGACCTATTTTGAGGTAAAATTTTATATGCTGAAAGAGTCCAACATCAATTGTTCAAAATAGTAATCGAATTGTGTTTACACACTTTTTAAAAATCAATTGACTATAGCAATCTAGATTTATTTCTGAAATCTCAATTTTATTCAATTTATATGTATGCATGTTCTTGTCCCAGCACCTCACTGCCTTTACTTCTGTATCTTTGAAGTAAGTTTTGATATTGAAAATGTGAGTACTTCAAATTTGTTTTTCTGATATAAAATGGTTTGGACTAGTTGAGTTCCTTAAATTTCTATATGAATTTTAGGGCTATCTTGTCAATTTGTGCAAAAATGCTATTAAAATTTTAATAGGCTTCAAATAGAATCTATAATTACCTTAGACAGTGTTTGCCATTTTAATAATATTACATCTTCTAATCCATTAACACAATAATGTTTTTCTTTTTATTTAGCCTTTAAATTCTTTTCATGATATTTTGCAGTTTTTAATATGAGAGTTTTAAAGTTGTTTAATTTTTTCTTAAGTATTTTATCTTTGTGATGTTATTGTTAATAGAATTGTTTTTGTAATTGTGTTTTCCAATTAATTGCTACAGTACAGAAATATGATTGATTTTTGAAGACTCTCAAAACTATTTATTAGCTCTAATAGTAGATTCTTTATAATTTTTCATTTATGAGATGTCATCTGAATAGAGACTGAGTTACTTCTGTCTTTCCAATCTAGATGCATATTATTTATTTCTTTTTTTCTTTGCCTAAATGATTCAACTAGAGCCTTAAATTAAAAAAAAAAAAGAGTTGATATCCTTGTCTTTTTCTTCATCTTAAGTGTGAAAGCTTTTAGTCTTTTACCAGTAAGTATGATGTTGTTAACTATGGATTTTTCATAGATGCCCTTTATTGGATTGAGGAAGATCCTGTCTATTTCTACCTTCTTGTTTGCTTTTATAATGATGGGTGTTTAATTCTGTCAGAAATTTTCATATATATAGATATAATAATGTAATTTTTCCTTTTTTCTATTAATATGTTGTATTATTTTGACTAATTTTCTTATGATGAATCATAAGTGCAATCCTGGAATAAATCACCCTTACTTGTGTTTTATTGGTAGTGAAACCGTACGGGTCTGCAGCAACCTCAATTCTTGCCTCCTCAGAAGAAAGAATTCAACTGAGAGGCATAAGTCAGAAGGAGAGACTGAGGCAAGTTTTAGAGCAGGAGTGAAAGTTTAATAAAAAGTTCTAGAGAAGGAAAAAAAGGAAGCAAAGTGCACTTGGAAGAGGGCCAAGTGGGTGACTTGAAGGACATATGCCCTGTTTGGCCTTGGACTTAGGGTTTTATATGCTGGCCTATTTTAGGAATCTTGTGTCCCTTTTCCCTGGATTCTTCCCTTGGGGCGGGCTGCCCACATGCACAGCGTGTTTATTGGAGTTGTACACATGTTCACTTGAGGCATTCTTCCCATTGCTAGTGGAATGCCCCCAGAAGGTTATATACCAGTTAAACTCCACCATTTTGCCTCTTAATGTGCATGCTTGACCTCTCTCACCTAACTCCTGAGATCTTACTGGGAAGCTGTTGATTATAGTTACAGGTGTTTTTACCTATTGGGAAAATGCCTTTCCCTTCTGCTGGCTGCAACCAATTATTATTTTAGAGAGGCAGTTAACAACTGCCTGACCATCACCTAATGGTTACCTGACTTTGCTAGTGGGGTGTCTGGGGAGGCTCTCTCCTGTTCTGCTCATGCCTGACTAGCTATCTACTGTAATATGTGGTGTTCAGTCATTTTTATAGGCTGCTCAAATTGTTTTGCTAGCATATTGTTGAGGATTTTGTGTCTTTATTCATAAAGTATATTTTCTTATGACTTCCTGGTTTTGTTGTCAAGGAATGTAATACTAGCCACATAGAATAATTCATCTCAAAATATTTTCTAGTTCTGTTGTATTTTCATTGACTCATTGGTTATTTGGTAGTGTGCTGTTTATTTTTCACAAATTGGTGAATTTACATTTTTCTTTTTTTTAAAAAAATCTACCTTCATTCCATTTTCAATGAAGAATACACTTCATATTATTTAAATCTGTATGCCTCTTGGAACATGTCTTCAACACTCAAGCAATGACAATTCTGCTTCAGTCTTTACTTCCTGTTTATGCAGAGCCTCAGGATCTATCAGAGTTGACAGCTTAAAGCCTTCTCAGGTCACTTCTGAGCATGTGTACTGACCTGGGTATTTATATAGCTTTCTATGTATGTGCCCTTCTAGCTTCCCAGAAATATGTCAGAACTTCCCAAAATACTTACAGACACCTTATTCTGCAACTTTTAATTTTAAGCTTTTGGTTAGTGTACTTGATTCAATTTTTATCTAGTACCTCAGGCGTCCATGAAATTAAACAATTGCCTGCAATAATTGTTAACAAATGCTCCCAGGAAGGAGACTGCTCAAGTTGGGCAAGCTCTAAGTTAGGTCAAATGCACACAATATTCTTAGTGAGGTCTTCCATGGAACTAAGACAGAGACCAACTAATGACTATCCTCTGGGAATGGGGTTTTGCAGAAGCTTCAGTGTCATTTTTATTTTTTGGTTTCTGCCTGGCTACTGGTCTTCATTGGAAATATGGGCTGTTAGTTTTCAGTTAAACTGCAGAGCTAGAGAGCAGGAGATTGGACCAAGGCAAGTTAAAACACCACAAAGATCAATATTATTAAATTTTTTTTTAATAGAACATCTGAGGATTTTTTTTTGTAATTTCTATCATTCTGAAAAACTTGGTTCTGACAATAGTTGCCAGTTTTCTATTTGTTTTTAAGAAGAAAAGACATTTTGGAGGTTCTTACCATTTCTACTGAGTTATTTTCATTGATTGTTGGAAAAATTTAATTTTCTGTACTCATATCACTAATATTTCCACTTTCTTTTTTCTTTCTTTTTCTTTTTTTTTTTTTTAGACAGTCTTGGTCTGTCACCCAGGCTAGAGTACAGTGGTATGATCTCAGGGGACTGCAACCTCCACCTCCCAGACTCAAGTGATCCTCCCACCTCATCCTCCCAAAGCGTTGAAATTACAGGAAAGATCCGTGGTGCCTTGCCTTCCATTGTTTTACTGGATACTAAACAGAAACAATTCTAGGGACCTAGCCACTTTTTGCCACATCATCCTCTCCACATCCTGAGCATTTGCACATTTAAGATAAACAAGTATCCCTCTTGTGCTTTGACACTCTTCTTTTTCAAAAAGACACAGTCCTTTTTAAGGGCTTGATTGATTAGGTGAGGCCCACCAGGATAATCTTTATTTTGATTAATTCCTACTCAACTAATTAGGAACCTAATAATAGGGTTGATATTTAATTGTATTCACAGATTTCATATGTATTCAAAAGGAAGGAATTATATAAAGGATCATGAAGTGAGAATGTAGTGGAAATGCACATTAGAATCCTGCTTACCCCAGTATTTAATAATAGTGATTAAAGTGTTTATATTATAATATATAATAAATAATAATTTATAGAAATTAATATATTATTTATTTACTTAATAAACATTCCTAGATGTGAAATGGCCGCATCAACAAAGATGTATATTCTAATTTGGGGAGATATTGCCAAAATGCTCTGAAAAGTGGTTTTACTTGGTTAATTTCATGTTGTTAATACAGAATACCACATGCTTATTTACAAATAAATTTATTTCACACAGTTCTGGAAGCTAAGTCTAATATCAAAGTGATTGCATCTGGTGAGGGCCTTCTTCCAAAGTCATCCCACAGCAGAAGTTGAGAGGGTGACAGAGGAAGAGAGACAGAAAGATTGAACTCACATCCTCAAGCCCTTTTATCATCAGCATTAATTTATTTATGAGAGTGTAGCCTTCATGGCCTAATTATCTCTCAAAGGTCTCACCTTTTAATATATTGTTGCATTGAAGATTAAATTAAAAGATGTTTTAATTAAAAAATTAAACCATAATTAAACCATAATTAAATAAAATTAAACCATATAATGCTTGATCCAATTAATAATATTATCACAAATAATAATTGTAGCTCACCTTAATTGAGTGCTTATTTTGTGCCAGGCAGGTTCCTAAAAGCTTTACAGATTTTCTCATGCTTAATGTTTCAAATCTTAAAGTTTTAGTATGAGAGTAAGTGAGAATCTAATTTTAACTTTTGCATGTGATATGGTTAGGCTTTATGTCCCCACCCAAATCTCATTTTGAATTATAATCCTGCCAAGACCAGCTTAGCCATTGAGATCCTAACCCAGCAGTGCTAGAGGAATTAAAGACACACACAGAGAAATATAGAGTGTGGAGTGGGAATCAGGGGGCTGACAGCCTTCAGAGCTGAGAGCCACGAGCAGTTTTACCCACATATTTATTGACAGCAAGTGAGTGATAAGCATTGTTTCTATACATTATAGATTAATTAAAATGGGAAAGAAGGGGATGGGCTCTGGCTAGTTATCTGCAGCAGGAACATGTCCTTAAGGCACAGATCACTCATGCTATTGTTTGTGGTTCAGGAATGCCCTTAGCAGTTTTCCACCCTGGGTGGGCCAGGTGTTCCTTGCCCTCATTCTGGTAAACCAACAACCTTCAGCGTGAACATCATAGCCATCATGAGCATGTCACAGTGCTGCAGAGATTTTGTTTATGGCCAGTTTTAGGGCCTGTCTATGGCCAGATTTGGGGGCCTGTTCCCAACATAATCCCCATAATCCCCACGTATCAAGGGAGAGACCAGGCAGAGGTAAATGAATCATGGGGGTGATTTCCCCCATGCTGTTCTCATGATAGTGAGTGAGTTCTCACAAGATTTGAGCTAATGGTTTTCTAAGTGTTTGGTAGTTTCTCCTGCATTCATTCTCCCTCTGGCCACATTTTGAAGAAAGTGTCTTGCTTCCCCTTCGCCTTCTGCCATGATTGTTAAGTTCCCTGAGGCTTCCTCAGCCATGTGGAACTGTGAGTCAATTAAACCTCTTTCCTTTATAAATTGCCCTGTCTCTGGCAGTTCTTTATAGCAGTGCGAGAATGGACTAACACAATATGTCATTCATTTCTTTCTATTACTTTTCCTGTCAGTGACGTGTTCTTTCTTGAGAATAAACAATGAGAGGAAAGTTGACCTCATTTTTAATGAAAAGAAAAATTTTCTGCTCATTTTCTAGATAAAAGAACAAATTGTTATTGAATAAACAGAGAAAATATGATAAATCCTCCAAAATAGCATTGAAATTCCTTTCTACCCACAGAAAGAAAAGCTCAAGAGCAATGCAATTTTATCATGTCATACAATATCAGGTGTGCTGCATGTCTACACAGAAAGTAGGACATAGCAATATCTGAAAGTGAATTTTTTTTTTAATTGAGATATAGTTTTGTTCTCGTTGCCCAGGCTGGAGTGCAATGGTGCAATCTTGGCTCACCACAACCTCCGCCTCCCAGGTTCAAGTGATTCTCCTGCCTCAGCCTCCCACGTAGCTGGGATTACAGGCATGCACCACCACGCCCAGCTAATTTTGTATTTTTAGTAGAGACGGGGTTTCTCCATGTTGGTCAGGCTGGTCTTGAACTCCTGACCTCAGGTGATCCACCAGCCTCGGCCTCCCAAAATGTAGGGATTACAGGCATGAGCCACCACTCCTGGCCAAAAATTTTATTTTATTTAGAAATTAAGAAATGCCTTGAATAAATTTTTGTAGAGTATATTAAATATAGTTTTCTGCTCTAGATATATTTATCAAAGCTGTGCCAAGTGTTCCCAGATTGTGCTTATTTCCTTAAAATATTGACTTTCTACCATGACGTAGAAAATATTTATTAAGTCAACAGCTTTATTATACTTGAAGTATTATTGTTTTGTACATCAAAATTATGTTTTTCTCAGTTCTAAGTAGGATTAATTTCATAAAGTGATTTAAATACTAAACCTCAGTGGGATTTATATATTATTCAAATAGAACTGACTTTAATTCTCGTGACTCTTTATATCTTTTAATATGTGTATTTTATTAGTTAAAAATCCATTACGTCATTAAGGTACAACAAAATAACAGCAGACGTAAGATAGCTATTTAAAAGCTATTAAAGCTTTATAAGCTCATTGTATATTAAAGAAAGACGTATATTAAAAAAAAAGCCATCTAGACTTCCCCTTCCAGCTCTAACATATAAAGAGCTTTTATGTGGTCACTCTTGACCTTAAAAACATACAAAAAAAGACAAACTGTAAGTAAACAACTTCACTTGGACCATCAGATAATTGAAGTCACAGGGAAAACTGACATCTTGAAATCTGGAGAGATAGGGTAATACAGAGAATTACCCCTGAGAGCAGCCTATTTGGAAAAAGAGTCACAGTATCCAAAATCTTTAGCAACACTTAATTTTCATGAGCTACTGGAGGATTAGTGTGGAAAAGCTTGAGAGTAAAATAAATGCTGTGATCCAGTATTACGGATGCCCACACACGTTTACAATTTCTACCTCCTGTAACCCCTTTAGGCTCTCATGGTGAAGAGCCAAGAAAAATCTGCTTGTGTTTCCAGTAGCTGAGAAAAAAAAAAGTATCCACTTTGAAATATGCCCAGAGTGTTCTCTATAACAAAGGCATAGTTCACAAGGGAAAAAACTTTATCAAAGACTTATCCAAACTGGTAGAAGGATAATTATCCATATTCAGGCCCCTCTAGCCTTCCTGTCCCACCACAGCCAAGGGGCACAAGCTCACTTAAAGACAGAGCTACAATCAAATATTAGAATGCTTTCTTTCCCCATTCCTTGCCATCACGGCAGCAGAGCTCTTGTGAATAAACAGTAAATTACAACTGAAAGAGCCACAAGACACTGAGTCTATTTAAGAAGTTGTGTATGGGAAAACCTAAAAACAATAGGAGAGATAAAGACATGGACAGTAGAGAAAATTGAAGCCTTTGGCATCTACAGTTACAGCAAACATTAGAACACAGCATAACTCCTAGCCAGATTAACATTAAACATTACACTAAAAGCATAAATTATTTTTTATTATTTAGTATAACCTATCCATCTTAAAAAAGTACAAATGACAGTAACAGGCAGGGAAATATACACTCTGAAGAGACAAAACAAACATTAAAACCAAATTTATATATGACACATACTTTGGAAGTATCAGATATGAAATTTAAAATAATCTTGATTAATATGTTAAAGAGCTATAATGGAACATGTGGACCACATGACAGCACAGATGGGAAATATAACCTGAGAGATGGTCTCTAAGAAAGAATTAAAACAAAATATCTAATAAAACAAGACAAATAATGCCTTTGGCGGGCACATCATTACACTGACACTGCTGATAAAAGAATAAGTGAGGATAAAAATATGTCATTAGACATTCCCCAAACTGAAAAGCAAAAACAAAAGAAAATAAAAAATTTTAAAAAACACATCTGAAAATTGTGTTACAATTTCAAAATGTGTAACACAGTTATAAATAGAATATAAGAAGAGAAGATACTTTCCAAAATTAATGTCAGACACTAAACTGTAGAATTTAGTTAGCTTAGAGGACACCAAAAAAGGATAAATACAAAAAAATCTAGAGCTTGGCATACAGTCAAACTGCAGAAAATCAAAGGCCAAAAAAAAAAAAAAAAAAAATGCTTCAATGAAGAGAGAGAATAAAACATTTTAGTTATAGAGGTGTAAGCCTAAGAATTACATTGGGCTACTTACTAGAAACCCAGTAAGCAAGAAGAGAATGAAGGTTGAAATATTTAAAATATTGAAATAAAATAAAACTACCAATATAAAAGTTTATGTCATGCAAAACATTATATGTTGTGGTAAAAATGGCACTTTACCTCTGTTCACCTCCTCCCAAAAATTCGTAACTCCAGCTAATCATGAGAAAAGCATCAGTGAAATTACAATAGAGGGTCATCCTGCAAAATATCTGATCAACAATTCTCAAGGCTGCCGAAAACAAACAAACATAAAATATGGCAAATTGTTACAGCCAAGAGGAGCCTAAGAAAACATGACAACTAAATGTAGTGTGGTGTTCTGGATGGAATCCTGAAAGAGGAAAAGACACTAGGTAGAAAGTAAAGAATTTTTTGTTTTTTTTTTGAGACGGAGTCTTGCTGTCGCCCAGGCTGGAGTGTGGTGGCGTCATCTCGGCTCACTGCAAGCTCCGCCTCCCGGGTTCACGCCATTCTCCTGCCTCAGCCTCCCGAGTAGCTGGGACTACAGGCGCCTGCCACCGCTCCCGGCTAATTTTTTGTATTTTTAGTAGAGACGGGGTTTCACCGTGTTAGCCAGGATGGTCTGGATCTCCTGACCTCGTGATCTGCCCGCCTCGGCCTCCCAAAGTGCTGGGATTACAGGCGTGAACCACTGCGCCTGGCCAGAAAGTAAAGAATTCTGTTTCTCATCTGGATGACAATGTTTGAAGCTTTGTGGATCCATTCCATGGTGAAGCAAGAATATCTTATGAAAATGATAACATAATATTTTAAAGTCTCTGAAAATTACCCTAAGGTATATAGAAAAGTGATGAAAGATTTGTTCAAAATAATCAGCCATAATTCTAAGAACTGTAAATCATGTGTCATTTGAGCCATAACCAACTTTCTGTCATGACCTCAGCTCAGTTTGATGTAACCACCCCTCTGAGCAGGTATTGCTAAAAAGATGGGTCAAACTTCCTACCAAGTGTTGCCATTTCTGACCGAGTGGGGCAAAATGACAGCATTTATTATATGTAACTACAAGTTAAAGAGGTTAAATTCCAATTTATTTTATTTTATTTATTTATTTTTTTGGTGACCAAGAGGAAAAGGGCTCACATCCTCCACCCAACCCATACCCACAGGACAAGCACTGTTTCTCAGGCACATCAGACTGATATTTGGACCCACAGTGCTCTAGATCCAAGTGTCTGGTTTGGGAAAGCTACCATGCTGTGAGAGGCAACCTAAAAGGACAAGGGACTACTCTCTTGCATAATTTCCAGAGAGTTTTCCCAGGACGAGAAGCAGTTGAATAACAAAAGAGAGGTTCAGACCTCTCCACAAAGTAACTGAATTTATATAAAACGGTGTGGAGAAGTTCAAATATAAGTATTCCCCAAAATAATAACTCCTCTTAATTATGCAACAGAAGCTTAACCATAGCCAATACATTCACCCGGGAGAAACAAAGTGAACTAGTTCATCAGATAGAAAGAGATAGCTAAGAAGAGCCCTTGTTGGAAAGAATGTGTCAAAGTTTGGCCTCAAACACTACCCCTGTCCAAATTTAAGTACAGCAGACTATGGAGCAATTTGTGCCATGACATTGTGAAAAATAATAGAGCAATAAGCCAGTAAATAGTAGAAACTAAAGGACAGAATGTGAATATCAAATGTAGCAGATGCTTAACAGAGAGATTGAGACAGTAAAAAACGGCCCTAAAAAAACACTGTCATTCTCAAATGACTGCACATCCATTTCCAAGTCTATATTCTCTGGGGAGTCACACCATAATTTTCACACAGTGAAGCAAATACACTTCACTAAAATAGCTTGTACAAGTCACAAAACAAACAGGCACCAGAGAGTGGGGTGAAAAATCAGTATCTAAAGTTGTTATAATGTATTCTGTAAAATTTTCAGTCTTCTACCAAAAATTAAGGGTCACATGAAAAAACATAAATATGTGACCAACATATACACAAAAATGCAGGCAAGAAAAACTGCCTGTGATAATGACCAGTGAGAAGTCATGTCTAACAAAGAACAAATTCAATATAGCCATTATAATATGTCTAAAGAACTAAAGGAGATAATATTAAAGATGTATAGAGAAATATAAGGCTTTCAAAAGATAGGAAATATGTTTTTAAATGAACCTTCAGGAGTTAAAAATAACCTAAATGAAAAAAATGTATTGCAGGAGTTTAACAACAGATTTGAAATTGCAGAAACAAAATCAGATTACTTGAAGACAGATTAATATGGACTATGCAATCTGAAAAACAGAGAGTAAATAGAATACAGACAAATGAATAGAACCCCAGAGAATTGCAAGATACCTTTTAGCACACTAACATACACATGCTAGAAATGTCAAAAGGAGAAGAGAAACAGAAAGATTAAAAAATATTCAACAGTGTATGGCTGAAAACTTTTAACATTTGCTGAAAAACATTAATCTACATATCCAAGAAGCTCAACAAAGTCCAAGTGGTATAAATGGAAAGAGATTCACACCAAGACACATTTAAATAAAAATAATGAAAAGCCACAGACAGGAAGTTATGAATGCTGCAAGAAAAAAAATTTAAAAATGACTCCCCATATCTTAGAGAAACCCAATAAATTGTTAGCAGCTTTCTTTCCCTCGGGGAATGGTGGTGAGTTATCAGTGGAATGACATTTTTACAGTACTAGGAAAGAAAATGCTGAGCAAGAATCTTGCATCCAGTAAAATTATCTTTGAAAATGAAAGAGGAATAAAAATACTCACAGACAAAATCTGAGAGGATTCATTGCTAGTACATTTACTTTATAAGAAATACTGAATGAAGTTCTTTAGGGTGAAAGTGAAACAATGGAAGGTCACTGGTCTTGTTGTCTAAGTTGTAATCTGAGCTCGTGGTCTCACAACCAGAAAATTAAGAACGTGGACCCAAAGGGTGAGGTTGGAGCAAAAGTTTAACAAGCGAAAGAAGAAAGCTCTCTGCAGCAGAGAGGGGTCCCAGACAGGTTGCTGTTTTACAGTTGAATCCAAAAGCTTTTATAAGAACCCCCTATCAGCTCTGTAGCCATTTGAGTAACTTCTCCTATCTATCAAATCTTCTTCACAACTCCCCCTTATCTATGTAGTTTTCGGTATATCTCTAGACAAGCACAATGCACTACTTCTCTTGTTCGTGTAATTGTGGATTTGTTTTAGGTAAGCCCCCCTTCTCCCTGTGCAAGTTCCCACAAAGCACACCACGTATATGCATGAAAAGGGAAGCAAATATATATTTTTTTCTGGGAGCTCGCTAATCACACAAAGAACATAAGGGTTCTGTGCTGCTTATCTATGCAGGTGCAGCCTGAGTTTTCCCCAAGCTGCTCTATTTTTGCCTCTAGCTTCGATTTTTCAGGCAGCCTGCTTCTCTGAGACCAGCCTTAACTGTTTACCTAATTGACCTTTTCTTCTCCCTCAAAAGAAAATAAGCATGGACATAAAAAATTATCAGCATTGTTAAAGGTAATTTTGTAATTACAAAAGACAATATATACATAGATTGTTTACTTCTATTCACTGGTTTAATTAGCAATTGCATAAAACAATATGTATATAATTATATATTTTGGCCTGTTAAATATAGAAATAGAATGTATTTGACAATGAGACCAGTAACCAATAGCATACAGATGGCAGGAGGAAGCAAAATTGTATTGGATTAAGAAAGTTAAACTACGTGCTACTTGAAACCTTATGCACAAATGAAATAAAAATTAATAATAAACAAAAAATTAATATTACAATGTCTGTAATTATACAATTGTTTTCTCAGCTTCTTTAATAAATATAAAATTATGTAAATAATGATTATAATAATGAATTTTTGTGTTTGTAAGTTATATGGATATAATGTGTGTAACAATAATAGCAAATAAAAGGGAATTAGATAGAGCTATATTATAGTAATATTTCTATATATCCATGGAATTAAGTTAGTTTAAATCTGAGGCAGGTTATGATAAATTAAGATGCATATAATACACCCTAGAGCAACCATAAAGATAATGAAATAGAATTTAAAAAATTTAAAAAATTAAAGTAATTAACATGTTACATTAAAAAATATTTACTTTATACAAAATAAATAAATATGAAATACAGAAACAAAAAAAGACATGAAACATATACAATACAAAAAGTAGAATGAAAGATGTAAATTTGACTATAACAATAAGAAGAGTAAATGTGAATGGAGGAAACAATCCTGTCAAGTTGCATGGATTGTCAGACTAAATCTAAAAACAAGATACAACTATATACAATCTACAGGAGAAACATTTTAGATTCAGACATACAAATAGGTGAAAGTAAAAGAGAAACGAATGGTATATTATGCAAAGAGTAACCTTAAGAAAGTTGGAGTGAATATTACAATGTCAGATAAAAAAGTAAAACAGAAAGTGTGACATGTTATAATGATAAAAGGGTCAGTCCATTTGGAAGTTATAACAATAATCAACATTTAAGCACCCGACAACAGAATCCCAAAATACATGAAACAAAAGCTGATAGAATTGGGGGGAAATCAAGGCAATTTAATTATAATAGTTGGAGAATTTACTATCACCACTCTCAGTCATGGGAAGAGAAACTAGTCAGAAGATTAAAAATGAAATAGAAGTCTTGAATCATATACACAAACTAGACCTAAGAGATTTCTGCAAAGAATTGTTTATAGACTCCAACAACAGCAGAATACAAATTCCTGGGGCATCAGAATATACATTTTTCCTAAGTGCAAATGGAGCATTCACTATAATAGAACACGTATCATCAAAACTTAAAAATATGGAAGAATTAAAACCATAAAAAGTATCATCTCTGGCCGGGTATGGTGGCTCACACCTGTAATCCCAGCACTTTGGGAGGCTGAGGCAGGTGGATCATGAATTCAGGGGTTTGAGATCAGCCTGGCCAACATGGTGAAACCCTGTCTCTACTAAAAATATAAACATTTGCCAGATGTGGTGGCATGCACCAGTAGTCCCAGCTACTCAGGAGGCTGAGTCAGGAGAATCGCTTGAACCCAGGAGGCAGAGGTTGCAGTGAGCCTAGACTGTGCTATTGCACTCCAGCCTGGGTGACAGAGCAAGACTCCATCTCAGAAAAAAAAAAAAAAAATCTCTGATCACAATGAAAAGAAGTTGCACATAAATAAGAGAAAAGAAATGGAAAATTACAATTAAGTAAAAGTATAAAACACATTACTAAATAATCAATGGCTCAAAAAAGAAATTATAAGGGAAATAAAAAATCTAGGATTTGATAGCACAACAAGATGACTACAGTCAAAAATAATTTATTGTACTTTTAAAATAACTAAAATAGTATAATTGGATTGTTTGTAACTCAAAGAAAGAAAAAATGCTTCAGGTGATGGATACCTCATTTACTTTGATGTGATTATTACACATTATATGTCTGTTTTAAAATATCTCATGTACCTCATAAATATATATATCCACTATGTACCCAAAGGATTAAAAATTTAAAAAAGTTAAAAAATACTTTGAGATAAATAAAAATAAAATACATACAAAAATGTATGGATGCAGCTACAGCAGTACATAGAGGAAAATTTATAACTGCAAAATACCTGTCTAAAAAGGAATAAAATTTTCAAATAAATGATTTAACCATTCACTCTGAAACACTAGAAAAATAAGAGAAAAGTAAAACCAAAGTAAGCAAAAGAAAGGAAACAATAAGGAATAAAGTACAAATGAGTAAAATAGAAAATAAAAAAATAGGGAAATATTAATAAAACAAAAAGTTTATTCTTCTAAATGATCACTTGAACCAAAAAAATCTTCAGGTCAATTGACCAAGAATAAAAGAGAGTAGACTCAATTTACTAAAATAAGAAATAGGCCACAGGTGGTGGCTTATGCCTATAATCCCAGAAATTTGGTAGGCCAAGGTGGGAAGATTGCTTGAGGCCAGGAGTTTGTGGCCAGCCTGGGCAAGAGAGTGAGACCCCTTCTTCACAATAAATAAATAAATGAATGAATAAGTATTTAAAAATAAAATAGGAAATATGAAGTATTAATATTACTACTAGCCTTATATAAATAAAAGGAATTATAGAGTTACTATGAATAACTGTATGACAACAAACCAAATAACTTAGATCAAATGAACACAATTTTAGAAAGATCCAAACTAGTAAACTCAAGACCTAAACAGAATATCAGAATATTCCAATCCATAGTACAAAGTTTGAATTAGTAACAAAAAAAACCTTTTATATAAAAAAGTCCAGCCATACTTGTATTTGCTATTGAATTATACCAAAGATTTAAAGAAGTAATATTAATTCTTCACAATGTCTTTCAAACAAATAGAATAGTAGAGACTCTTTGCAACTGTTTTTATGAGGCCATTATTAACCTATTACCAAACCAGACAAAGACATCATAAATAAATAAAACTACATACTCATATTGCTTATAAAACCAGATGTAGGTATCATAAATAAATAAAACTACATACTCATATTGCTTATAAAACCAGATATAGATATCCTCAACAAAATACTGGCAAATTGAGTTCATCAACATTTATAAAAGATGATACACCATTATCAAGTAGGATTTATCCCAGGAATAGATGGTTGATTTAATATCTCACAATTAATTTACACAATGTACCATATTAATACAATAAAAGAAAGCAAACACAAAATCACCTCAATAAAAACAGAAAAATCATTTAACAATATTTAACATCCGTTTGTAATAAAACCCCCAATAGCTAGGAAGAGAAAGAAACTTCCTGAACCCGATAAAGGATATATGAAAGGTTCACAGCTAGAATTATACTTAATGGTGAAAAACTAAATGATTTCCCCATAAGATCAAGAAAAGGTAAGAATAACAATATATTCTTTCACCACTTCTATTCATTATTGTACTGGAGGCTTAACCCATGACAATTGGGCAAGAAAATAAAATTTAAATTATCCAGTTTGAAGGAATGAGCTAGGAGAGTAAAAGTAATGCAGCAGGAATTGCATCATGGGCATTTGTGCCATTTCCTCATGCAACTTGTTGGTGCCTTCAGGAAATTCATGAGCCCAATGTCCTATATGGTATTTCCATTTAAGGGAGTGCTGCTGTGCATGCCCAAATGTATGGCTTTGTGGATCAGACACTCAGGTAATAATGGGCAGCTTAGATCTCAGGATAATTTGGGGGCTCATATTTGAGCTTTAATCTGTACTTAAGCCTTGTAGCAAGCTGAAATCTTGTTCTTAAAAAGGGAAGAGTTATTGGCAGAGAAGGGCAAGACTTTGCTTCAAAATCCTAAAGGACCTCACTGTAATTCACCTATAGGGATCTGCCAAAGCCTCCAAACAGCATCTTTCTCTGCCTCTGATAATTAAAGCATAATTGAATATTTCAGATGGATCGTATGGCCTAAGTGACAAAACAGCTTTCACATCAACTGTTGCAGAGCTTTCTCTTGTTCTGGTCCCACTCAAAACTAGCAGCTTTTGAGTAGTACACCCAAATTAGAAATATGTTTTCTCTAAAATCAAAAGAGTCCCATTAGACATTATTACTTATTTTAGGTTTTAGGAGCGATTGAAGAAAACAATGTATTCTCCACCTTAGAAGGGATATCTCAACATGGCTCACACTATTGAACTCCTAAAAGTTTCTCCGACCTGAGATGTCATTGGATTTTTGTTGGATGTATTTTCCACTATCTACCACTCAAACGTTTAATGACAACTTTAGAGTGGCTACTAGGTCTTGTTGACTAGGTCCAATCAGCATGATGTCATCAATGTAATGGATCATTGTGATAGCTTATGAAAAGGTGATGTAAATCAAGGTCTGTTTTGACTAAATGATAGGAGTGCAGAGTTTCTATGCTCCTGAGGCAGAATAATAAAGGTTGCTTCACCAACTCAAGCTGCTTTTGTAAGCCTTTTTTAATAGATATTGAGAAAAACTCATTTACCATATCAATATTCACATACCAGCTAGAAGAAATATGTTCATTTTCTCAAGCAATTAAACCACATCTGGAACAGTAAAGAGTTGAGTCACTATCTGGTTATGTTTATTATAATCTGCTTTCATTCTTCATGATCCATTTACTTTCTATCCAGGACAAATAGGAGAGTTGAATGAAGATATCATAAGAATCACCATGCCTGAATCTTTTAAGTCCTTGATGATGGGATTAATCTCTGCATTTACTTCAGGAATGCAGTACTGCTTCATGTTCACTATTGTCCTACATACAGACAGTTTTAATGACTTCTATTTGACATTTTCTTCCATAGTAGCCCTTACTCCACAGGTCAGAATATCAATGTGGGCATTCTGTTAGGTACTGAGGATGTCTATTCCTATTGTTCATTTTGAGAAATAAACCATAGAATGGGTTTGAGCACCCACTATACCCACTGTGAGATGGACCTGGGCTAAAACCTCATTACTCACCTGACTCCACAAGCCCTTACTCTGACTGGTGGAGCACAGTGACAATTTGCATCTTGTGGAATTAGTGTGACTGTAGAGCCAGTGTCCAGTAGTCACCAAAAAGTCTGTTTACTTATTTTTTCCAATACACAATCACCCTAGTAAGAGGGTTATTTGGTTGGTCAGCTGAAACATAGACCAATAAGTTGGTAAATTACTAGAGCCCTTTCTAAGCCCTTGGGCTACAACATTGAGTATAGAATCTCTATTATGGGCTAATATTAATAAATTCAACCTGAACCAATTTTATATTCCTGCCGCAATTTTATAAATTTAATTGAATTTATAATTTATAAATTTATATTAATATGTAAAATTATATATAATTTAAAATTAATATAATTTAACCATTTATATAATACATAGATGTATTACTTAGTTTATAATTTAAAAATTATAATTTTGCAGATTTAATTTACAATATTATATTTCTACACCTTTTCTATACAATTTCTTGAGATTTCTGTGTATTCATTGAAAAAAATCTTGCAGTTGTTTTGAAGTGTAGTGCTTCTCCTAGTGCTCCACACTTTGGACCTCACTCTTTAGGACCTGTTAGAACTTGAACATACTTCTAATTCCAGAAGACACAAATAAAGGTGCTGTGTGTAGGTTTTGAATAAGTAAATATATATTTATTTATTTACTTGAAGTAATTATCCCACATGATTGTGGTGGCTCACAAGGGTAAAATCCACAGGGCAGGCCAACAGGTTGGAAACTCTTGGATTTTTTAGTCTTGAGGTACAATTTATTCTTCAGAGATATCTCAGTTTTGCTTATAAGGTATTTCCACTGATTGGATGATATCTACCCACATTATAGAGAAAAATATCCTTTACTTAAATTCAGGTGATTGTGGATGATAACCATGTCTATAAAATTCATTCATAGCAATCCCCGGATTAGCATTTGATTGAAAAGCCTAGCTAAGTTGATATGTAAGACAAACCGTAAAAGCATACAAAAACTTTTACTCAAATGTTCAATGAAGCATTAATAATAGCCCAAAATTATAAACAACTTATTATCCACTAATGAATTAAGGTGTAAATAAAATGTGGTATATTCATACAATGGAATATTATTCAAGCATAAAAATGAATGGACTGCTGATACATATTACAATAAGGATAAACCTTGACAACACTATACTAATTGAAAGAAAGCAGTTGCAAAGGATCACCTATTGTATGGTAATATTTATATGTAATGTTCATAATAGCCAAACCTATGGAGACAGAAAGTAGATTAGTGATTGCTTAGGACTGGGGAGGATGGGAGAATTAATAAGTGATGGCTAAGAGGTAAGGGGTCTTTTTTGTGGGTAATAAAATGTTCATATTTTAAAATTGTGGTGTTGTATACACAACACACTAAAAGCTATTGAATTTGACACTTTCAATAGGTAAATTTTATGGTAAATAAACATATCTCAATAAAGTTGTTAATAATGAAAGAACAGTGTGACACAGCTAACAAATATAAACTATTAAATTTAGTTAATAATAATGTATCAAAATTGGTTCATCTCTTGTAGAATATTCACAATACTAAAGGTGTTAATAATGGAAAGGACTCTGTAAAGTTAAGCAAGAATTCTTTGTGCCATCTCAAATTTTCTGTAAATCTAAAGCTGTTCTAAAAATAAAGTAGATTAAAATAAATGCAACATTCAAATATAAATATAACTATGGATGACGTGAGATACTGACAGACTAATTCATTGATTTTTTTTAAGATTGGAAAATAGTCTTATGGTTTAACTTTCACTTAAGAATTTCCCATGATAATTTTAAAAAAAAGCTTTTGGTTTTACCTAAGTTTCATTTAATGTCTGTCTCTTTTTTGTTGTTGGAATAGCTAGGGATATGTAAGTAAGAATTGACAGGGTAGAGAGCCAACAAGTAGGACTTTTCATTTATTTAGGGTTAAGAGTCTCTGCAGATTTCTCAAGGTTGGAATCAGGTAATACTGGAGTCCTCCTAAAGTGAGCAAGTTAGATGAACAATAGGACAGGTAAGGTTTTAATCATGTTGAGCATCTGGGAGTCAGCAACAATGGAATAGCAGCTAGGAGGGCAAATCTAGCTCTCAGAGTCATTCCCATCAAGGGACATCAAAATGTAAATAAATAAATAGCATAGATATGCCCTAATATACAGTAGTGGTTCAACCATATGGAAGATAATTTCAACATGGAGGTTGAAATGGATCCCAAAGCAATGCAAATTCCAAGGCATATGATCAAGAAATTGAAAATTTTTTGACAGAAAGAGCAAAGAAAGAAGATTTGGTTTCCAAGCTTATTCATAGGAAAAAAATCTAGGCATGAATTTTCTGCTTAAGTTTCAAGAGTGTTATAGAATTTATGTATACCAAGATTGAATTCCAACATAGTAAAGATAGTATCTGAAGAACAGCCCTAGAAGTTAGTCAAAGCCAAAATTTAATATCCAGTAAAGAAACAGAAGTTTGTGAAAAGTGAATACTAGCAATTGCTAAGATAACTCATTCATTTTTAGAACTTTGCCTTTAACTTCTTTGTAATCAATTCCCAAATCTAATTATACTTTAAACCACTCACTTGATGTTATATCTAACTGCTTATTGGACATTTTTCTTTGACTGTTAAATGCTTTATCTATGTCTCTTGAGATAATTATATGGCTTCCCTTATTTAGTTCCTTATTGGTGAAATAAACTGAGTGCTTTTCAAATATTAAACCTTCACTAATATTATATTACTTCATGCATAGTACAAACAATTTATAAGTGTACTTCAATTTTTCCCCTCCTGACCCTACAATATATTGCTCCTATGTCTTCTTGCTTGTATTTTCTTTCTTGACCACAAATCTGTTGTTATCCCTATCTTTGTCCCTTTGTATGTAATGTGTTATTTTTTTGTTGTTGTTATGGCTGCCTTTAATCTTTTTAATTTATCGCTCTATTTTAGCAATTTGATTATGATGTAGCCTTCTGGCATTCATGAATCATGTGGTAGGAAAACTTTCAGGATGGTCCCCAATGATCCTGCCTCCTGGTGTTCATGTCTTTGTATAATATTGACAATGAACTGAAGCTAGTAACTCATGTGTGAGAAATTGAATATGGCAACACTAATGGGATGTCAATTTTGAGATGAGGTTTCAAGAATACTGTGGTTTTTGCCTTTAGCACTTTTCTCTCTTATCATCTCACTCATTTACTCATTTGCTCTGAATGAAGTCAACTGCCATTGAAATGGGAGAGTTCCCGGTCCCCCCTTGCAGGATGTGTGACACGGGTGTGGCTTGTCTCTTTGGCTACCATGCATTCAAACCCCTTACATTAGTGGAAACACATGGATGGGCAAGTACAAAAACTGGGGCAAGCACTTTTGGGCTCAAGCCCCATGGTAGTGTCTAGGGATGGATGCCTGCCACTCTCAAAGCCCCAGTAGGCATGTTGCAGTACTCTTTTAGCTCTGCCTTCCACAGATGGCTTAAGTGTTCACCAGTTCAGTGCCCTCTTGGTACCCAGGTTCTTGTCCAGTGTCCAGGAAAAATCAGGTCACATGGACAAATTGAAGGATGGCAAATGCAGGGTATTTTATTGACAGATGGAGGTGGCTCTCAGCAGGATGGATAGGTAGCTGGAAAGGGGATGGAGTGAGATGATTTTCCCCTGAAGTTTGACCATCCCACAGCTGATCTCTCCAACTATCTCCAGCCGAACTTCTCTGGATGTTCAGATGTTCCTTCTCTTCTCTCTTTCTCTGCCATGCCATTCTGCCACTCTTCTGCTCAGCTGCTCTTCTGCTCGTGGAGCCTGGGGTTTGGGGTTTATATAGGTACAAGACAGGGGGGCATAGCAGGCCAAAAGGAAACATATGGGTGCAAAAATAGGAATGCTTGTTTCCATGTAGGGCCACAGGTTTCCAGGCTTGAGGGTGGGGCCTTTGCTGGGGAACTGCCCTCTTCTACCCAGTATTTTCCTGCTTCCTGTCCATATCACCAGGTTGTGGCTCTATGAAAAACCACATGGAGCTGATGTTTTAAGCCAGCAAGCAGCAGTGACCTGAGGCCTGCCAATAGCCACGTGAGTGAGCTTGTGAGAGGAACCATTCTCATTCAAACTTTGATATTACTGAATTCCCTGATGACACTTTCATTGCAACCTTATGAGAAACCCTGAGTCAGAGTCATCAAACTAAGCTACACCTGAAATTCTAATTCACAGAAACTGAGATAGTAAATGTTTTTTAATTTGCTATGCTTAGGAGTAATTTGTTATGCAGCAACACATAACTAAGTTACCTTGGCATAATGTAATAACTTCATGTTTCTTTTGCTTGATGTTAACTCCCTGAATTGGTAGTTTTAGAATTTTCTTTCAGTTTGGAAAGTTTTCAGCCATTATATTTCAAATATTTTTTTCCTCTAATCCTTTTCTGCTCTTCTCTGAGAATTCCAATTACACATATATTAAGACACTTGAAATTACAGTACAGTTCACTGGTTCTCTGCTTTTTTTTTTTTAATCTCTATTATATGCTGGAAAGTTTCTACTGCTATATCTTTAAGTTCATGGATCTCTTATACTGCAATGACTGATTTTCTGTTGTCGTAGTAAATTCAGGCTGCTATAAAAAATACCATATACTAGGTGGCTTGTGAAGAAACAGAAATTTATTTCTCCCAGTTCTGAAGGCTGAGAATCTGAGATCAGAGCACCAGCATGGTCAGGTTCTGGTGAGGTTCCTCTTTTGGGTTGCAGGGAGCCACTTTCTTATAATATCCTCACATGATAGAGAGAGAGTGAGCTATCCCTTTGGCCTCTTGTTTTTAAGAACACTACTCCCATTTCTGAGGGCTCCATCCTCATGACCTAATTGCCTTCCAAAGTCTCCACCTTCAAATACCATCATACCGGGGATTAGATTTTAACATATGAATGTGAGTGGGGACACAAACATTCAGTCCTCAACAGCTGCCCATTCTATTAGGTATATATATATATATATATATATATATATATATATATATATACACACACACACACAAACACACACACACACACATATATACTGAATATATAATATATATATACATGTGTATATATATTTTTATATATATATTTTATATATATATATAAATACATATATATATATACAAATATATATATATTTATTGTATATATATTGTATATATATATACATATATATTTTATATATATACATATATATTTTATATATATACATATATATTTTATATATATACATATATACATATATATATATATATAAAATTTATTTTTTGAGACGGAGTCTCGCTCAGTCACCCAGAGTGGAGTGCAGTGGCACGATCTCGGCTCACTGCAACCTCCGCCTCCCGGGTTTAAACAATTCTCTGCCTCAGCCTCCTGAGTAGCTGAAATTACAGGTGCCGCCACTACACTTGGCTAATTTTTGTATTTTGGGTAGAGACATTGCATTTCTTAATCTCAAAGGTTTGATTGGGGTCTTTTAAACATCTTCCATGTCTGTATAAAATAATTATAATTATTTTCTCTAATCTCATAATTCTAAAATCTGTGTCAAATCTGGGTCAGTTTCAATTGATTAATTTATCTCTTTAGAATGGGTTAAACTCTTTTGAGTCTTTGCATGCTTAAGAAATTTTTATTGGTTGATGTATACATTGTGAATTTTACATTATTCAGTGCTAAATATTTGTGAATTCTTAAAAGCATTTTTGAGCTTCATTCTAGAACACAGTCAACTTACTTGTAAGAGTTTGATCCTCTTGAGTCTTGTTTTTAAGGCATTTTAGGCAGGCTCAGAATAATGTTTAGCTTAAGGTTATTTCCCATGAATCATAAAATATACGAATGAGTACTCCTTCCAATTTTCCATGAATCAAAGACTTTTTTGTCTGTCTTGTGGAAACAGAAACTATTTTTGGTTCTGTGTGACCGCTGAGTACTATCCCCTCTGTTCATTTTTGGCAATTCTTTTTCCACCCTAAGGTGGTTGACTTTGTGAATGCCAGTTTTCAGCTGACTATTCAAGATGGACTCTTTGCAGATCTGTAGATTTTTTTTTCTTTTCAGTTTTCTCCTCTCCAGCACTCTGTCTGAAAAAAATTGAGATGCCTTAACCTTTGTGGATTCTATCTTCAACTCAGAAAGTCTGCTTTGCTCTTTCTGGCGTCTGGAAACTTTTGCAAAGCAGTAGCTGGTGCAATCAGAGTCTCATTTGTTTATTTATTCTATCTCAAAGATCACTGTCCTCTGTTGTCTGATGTACAGTGTTTTGTAAAACTGTTGTTTTATATATTTGTCAGTTTTTTGGCTGCTTCATGTATGAGGGTAATTCTGGTTTCTGTACCTCCATCTTGGCCAGAACTGTAAATTAACACATGCCTAATTTTATTATATACATTTTTTATAATCTTACTTTCTTATTCAGGTTTATTGTTGACTAATTTGTGAGAGACTCTCTACAACATCTTTTATAGTCAGAATTCTTTTAATATTGTATATATGACTAAGTAGCTGATCATTAAAGTCCTTTGACAGGCACTCATTTAAGTTTCTTATATTTATTTCTTAGTAAACATCTATTGTGCGTCTACTGTGTGTAGGTGCTATAGAGATTATAGAGACACATTAAATTTACATCCTCTTTCAAAAAGCTTATATTCTCATAATCATTAAACAAAACACACTAGATATAAATAAGGCTTATTAGAGAGATATAAGAAATATGCAGAGTTACAAAAATTCAGAGCTACTTGTTTCTGTGCAAAACCTAAGGGGACTTTCTGCATCCCACAACATTATCATTTAAGATATGCATTTATTAACATATTTGAACAAAATTACTTCTACAAAAATGATAATTGCTTGTTGGTTTTTGTATAAAAAATGAATGTGCTTATTTCACATTTCATGCCTATATCAGAACATCTCATGTACCCCATAAATATATACACCTACTATGTACCCAAAAATATTTTTAAAATTTTTTAAAAAGAAATGGGCCAAACTGTTAGTAATTACTCTATTCTTTTGGTGAATTAGGGTTCTTCAGAGAAACAAAACAGATAGGATATAGACAGATAGAGAGATAGACAGATAGATAGACAGACAGAGATAGATGAGAGAAGGTTTACCATGGGAATTGACTCACCTGTTTATGGAAGCTGAGAATACCCACTGTATACGACCTGCAAGCTCAAGAACCAGCAAAGCTGTTAGCTAAGTCCAAGTTCAAAGGACTGAGAATTTGGGTGGCTGCTGGTGCAAAGTTTAGATGAGAAGATGGGTGACCCAGCTCCAGAAGAGATAGCAAATTCACCTTTCTTCTGCCTTTTTGAAAATCTGAGCCCTGAATAGATTTGGTGCCTGCCCATATTGGATGAGTGCAGATTTTTCTTACCCAGTTTACTGACTATGATGTGAATCTTTCCCCATAACACCTTCACAGACATACCCCAAAATAATGCTTTACCAGTTATCTGTATTTCTCTTAACCAAGTCAGGTTGATACCTAATATTAACCACCACACATCCACTCCTCATCAATGTGGCACCCGTACACATCTCCTTAAACCATAATTAATCTCCAAATAAAGACAATAACAATCCCATAGTTGTACCCAACATTACACAGCTACCCTGCTTACAATCATACATGTACAAATATCTTCCCCAGAAGAGAAGATGAAGTCCTTGAGTGATGTTTACTCTTCTGATATCCCTTAACTTAAATATTATAATTTAAAATTAATACTACTTTAATACTGATATAAAGTCAATAAATCTTAAGTTTCATGATAAAGGAATAATGGAGAAAAAACAAAGATACTTGATTAATAGATGTACATATATATATATATACACATACTCACATAACATAATGGCATTCTTATCAAAAAGCAGGACATACTCATGACAATTACAGTCTTCAGTACTGTAACCATTCATATGGTCATAGCTGGTATTTGTAACTATTTTTTTCTACTACACATTCTGTATTCCCTTTGCCTCCAGGAAGCACCTCAGCAAGTGGTAGTTTTTTTAACCTAGTAGGGCGATCTAAACCTTCATTTCATAAGAGTCTGAGGTATTTATAGTCCTGCCTGGATTATGTTTTTGCAGTTTCCTATTGACCTTACTCACAGGGCATGGTAGCACGTAGAGACACCCTAAAGAATCTACTGTATTCCAGGAATACTCTTTCTTATCTCCATTGTGGAGAAATAGTTCAATTTCCTTTTGATAGTCTGAATCACTTACCCCAGCCAACACCATACCTCACTTGACTTACAGACTGAAAGGCATGAGGAGCTGGAAATAACTTGGTAATACTCTTAACTTCCAGTTCAATGGAATCACTATTGTGCCTCCCAGTGAAAGCATTTCTTCTTCTGGAACTAAGATCCCTAAGCCGGCAGAGCATAAAATTGTGAAAACAGAAAGCAAAAATTTTGTAATTGGTCACTAGGAGTAATTGTGAGTTGTGTCATGCCCATTTCTACATCTTGATTCCTAGACCAGTGAATTCTGGTAATGGGAAAAACAGTATTATATATTGGACACTGATTTATGGCATATATCCCCTTCTGGAGAACTTTGCCCTAGGTCTCCTAGATATTACCACCTAGTCAGCACTGTTACTGAATATTGAATTGTTATAATAAATATTATTAATAATTAATAATTTCAAAAATTATCCCATTGTTCTATCAAGCCATCTGCTTTGGTAAGGTGAAGAACATTGTAATACTAGTAAAGTTCATGAGCATAAACCCATTGCCACACTTTTTTGACTGTGAAGTTAATTCCTTGGTCAAAAACAATACTGTGTGGAATGCCATAACTATAGATAAAGCATTCTATAAGTTCAGGGACGGTAGTTTTGGCAGAAACATTGAGTACAGAATAGGCAAATTTATATTCAGAATAAGTGTCTATTCCAGTGTCCTATTTCATTTACATTTATCTAAAGAAATACCTGAAGCTGGGCAATGCATAAAGAAAAGAGGTTTATTTGGCTCACTCTTCTGCAAGCTGTATAGGATGCATGGCATGAACATGTGCTTCTGGTTAGAACTTCAGAAAGCTTCCACTTATGATGAAAGGGAAAAAGAAATTGATGTGTGCAGATCACATGGTGAGAAAGAAGCAAGAGAGAGGGGATAGAGGTGCCGGATTTTTTTTAACGATTGTATCTCACAGGAACTAATAGAGTGAGAAGTCACTCATTACTTCAATAATGGCACCAAGTCTTTCATGAAGAATCCACTCACATGACCAAAACACCTCACGCCAGGCCCTACCTTCAACATTGTGGATCAAATTTCAACATGATATTTTGAGGGGACAAATATCTAAACTGTATCATTCAGTAAATGCAAAATGCTGGCCCTTCCATGATGGCAGTGGTCCAATGTAATCAACCTACCACCAGGTAGCTGGCTGATCACCCTGGAGAATGGTGCTGTACTTGGGGCTCATAATTGGCCTCTGCTGTGACAGATTGGTTACTCAGCAATAGTCACAGCCAATTTGTCCATGGTGAATGCAAGTCCATGTTGCTGAGCCCATGCAGAAACTCCATCTCTGCCACCAAGGCTACTTTGTTTATGAGCTCATTGGGTGATAACAGAGATGACTGGGAACAAGGCTTGCTGGTATCAACAATATGGGTCATATTTGATTATTAAACAATCAACTTGATATTAAAATTTTTCTCTGCTGAGGTCATGCTTTGTTAAGCATTCATATGAAACATAAACATATTTGTGTTCTTTGTCCATTCAGAGAGGTCTACCCACATACCTCTTCCCCAAATACCTTTGTAAGCAGTTTTTCAATCAAGTTCTTTCCCAGTTCCATACCATCCAGCCAAAACTTTGGCTATAGTCCATGTGTGGTTATGGAATCTCATATCTGGCCATTTTCCTTTCCAAGCAAAGTACACAATCTCGTGCACTGTCTGAAGTCCTGCCCACTTACAAGGTTTTCCTCCACTATTGCCCTTCAGGAATATTCCAGAAAGGGGCTATAGTATGTTAGCTGTTAACTTTGGACTGCTGCCTGAATATTAAGCAGAAAGATCTGTGAACCAGCCCAATTTTCTTCTTCTGTCAACTAATCATAGGGTGTATTAGTTTCTTTGTGTTGCTACACAGGAATATCTGAAGCTGGTTAACTTATAAGGAAAATAAGTTTATTTGGCTCACAGTTCTGCAGGCTATACATGAACCATAGTGCCAGCATTTGCTTTTGATGATGGTTTCAAGAAACTTACAGTCATGGTGGAAAGTGAAGGGAAGCCAGGATGTTACATGGTGAGAGAGGAAGTAAGATAGAGGAGAAGGGGTTGCCGGGCTCTTTTAAACAACCAGATCTCATGTGAAGTCCTAGAGTGACAGCTCACTCATTACTGCGAGGACAGCACCAAGACACTCATGAGGGATTCACCTCCATGATGCAAACTCTTCCATTAGGCCTCACCTCCAACATTGGGGACCACATTTCAATATGAGATTTAGAGGAAATACACATCCAAACCATATTATAGGGTACTCCCCATAACACTATAGGTTGGAGAGAAGGCTGGGAGAAAGAAGTCAGTGTACAGTGTAACAGGAGTAGGAATCACGGACATTTAAGCCACTTCTACATTTAACTTACTTGTAGCCTTTACGGACTACTCAGGCCTGATATATATGGAAGAAAAAAGGGTTAATTTAATTTTGCAACTTCATTTATGGATTTTTTTGTGAGACAAGGGAAAGAAATATAAAAGATCAGCTTATTTTGTGTGTATCCACACACTTAATGGGAACTCATTTTCAACAAAGTTGCCAAGAATATTGGGGAAAAGTCAGTCTTCAATAGCTGATGTTGGGAAACTGGATATCCACATGCAGGAGAATGAAACTAGACCCCTATCTCTTGCCATATACAAAACGTGAATCAAAATAAATTAAAGACTTAAGTCTAAGACCTCAAACTATGAAATTACTATAAGAAAACTTTGAGAAAAATCTCTAGGACATTGGTCTGGACAAACATTTCTTGAGCAATACCCCACAACCACAGGCAACCAAAGCAAAAACGGACAGCAAATGATACAATCCACAAAATGAAGAAACAGTAAATAGAATGGGAAAAATATTTGCAAATTACTCATCTGATAAGCGATTAATAACCAGAATAGAAAAGGAGTTCAAACAATTGTATAGGTAGAAATGTAATAACCAAATCAAAAAGTAGGCAAAAGATTTGATCAAAAGAAAACATACAAATGGCAAACAGGCATATGAAAAAGTTCTCAACATCATAGAATATCAGAGAAATGTAAAATAAAAACTACAATGAGATGTCCTATTATCCCAGTTAAAATGGCTTATAACCAAAGACAGGCAATAACAAATGCTTGTCAGGATGTGGAGAAAAGGCAACCTTTGTACACTGTGGGTGGGAACGTAAGTTAGTACAACCACTAAATAGAACAGTTTGGAAGTTTCTCAAAACACCAAAAATAGAGCTACTATATGATGTAGCAATCCCACTGTTGGGTATATATCCCAGAGAAAGGAAATCTGTCTAAGAAAGAGATATCTGCACTTCCATGTTTGTTGTAGGACTATTCACAACAGTTAATATTTGGAAGCAACCTAAGTGTTCATCAACATATGAATGAATTAAGAAAATATGGAACATAGACACAATGGAGTAATATACAGCCATAAAAAATATGAGATCCAGTCATTTGCAATGACATGGATGGAACTGGAAGTCATTATGCTAAGTGAAACAAGCCAGGCACAGAAAGACAAACATCATGTGTTTGAACTTATTTGTGGGATCTAAAAATCAAAACAATTGAACCTATGAGCACAGAGAGTAGAAGAATGGTTACCAGAGGCTGGGAAGGGTAGTGGGGGTGATGGGGACAAGGTTGGATAGTTAATGGGTACAAAAAATAGAAAGAATGAATAAGACATACTATTTGATAGCATACCAGGGTGACTATAGTCAATAATAAATTCATTTTAAAATAGCTAAAGGAGTGTAATTGAATTTTTATAACACAAAGGAAAAATGCTTGAGGGGATGGAAACTACATTTTTTTAAATATGTCATTATTTCATATTGCATGCCTGGATCAAAACATCCCATGTACCCCATAAATATATACACCTGCTATATACTCACTAAAATTAAAACTTAAAAAAGGATCATACCTTTTGTTATATCATCTCACAATAAAAATAATGACATTTAACTGAAACGCTACATTTATTAATGTAAAAACAGCAAACTCTGCTTTAGATTTACAGAGATCTAGAAAAAAATAATTTAATAAAAGTGTCCTAACCATAGGAGTTCAGAGCACACTTAAGAGTTTCCACTCAAGTTCTCTTAAATAAGAGAGTCCAGTGAAGAATGAATCAATCTGCTGAACCTATAGACACCACAAGCACTTACGATTTTTACTCCTCTACTCGACCTCTTATTATGTCAATCTCCACCTTGCTTTTTATATTAATTGTAACTAATTTTCTAATTCCTACTCTGTATTGGACATATTTTCCACCTTTTACATTGGTGACTTACAGACTCTTGAGGCTTCATTTCCTCCAGCTTCCTGCAATAAAGGCAAGTACCTGGTTCTTACATGCATATATAACCTATGTCTCACTTAAAGCCTCCACGTGACCTATAATCACAAATTATACGCTCTTGAAGTCTAACTTGCTTCTCTTAACACGAATCTGATTACAGAGGGTATTAAATGACAGACTAAGAAGTTTGAATTTGTATTAGGCAGACAAAAATCAACATTGAGAACATCTGAGAAAATAAATGACATACTACTATCAGTGTCTTAAGAAAATGAATCAGTGAACACTCTGCATGGATTAAATGAGGTATTGTATTTAAAATACATTGCACAGGCCTTAACACATATTAAGCATGTAATATAAATAGGTATTACACAGGGATAGAATGAGTGAGGAGAGCCAGTTTTCAAATGCCAATGTGTGAATTAGAAAAGCTTACAGTTAAGAAATTAGTGAATATAGCCAAATCATTTTTTGTGAGATATGATAGTTTTGTTTTAGTTTAAAAAATATTTTAAACATAAAGAAAATAATATATAAAATAATAAGCACCCATATACCTATCACTCAGTTTTTCAATTGTTACTGTGTGACATTTTAAATAAGAATATAGTCAGAAAATAAAATGATGGAGAATATTACATAATCAATTGAAGCTGCGATTGATTTTACTGTCTTTCTCCAGATATAACTTCGACCCTTATTTTTTGAATTGTTATTCTGAATGATTTTGTTTTTAATGACATATATGTGTATTCTTTAGCTCTATACACATTGATTTGCAATAATTTAAACTTGTATAAGTAATAGCATGAATTCTAATTCTTCTGAAATGTAATGTTTCTGCTCAACAACTGTTGAAAATAGTGGTACTAGTCAATCTTAACTAGTCAACACACATAAATGGCACTATTTTCATTATTAAATTTTCTGACTAATAATCACTGAAATAATTATTGATATTTTTAAAAATTTTATTTTGTTTTTGACACAATAATTGTACATATTTATGGGGTGCAATTTGTTGTTTTGATACATGTATGCATTGTGTAAAGACTAAATCAAGGTAATTAACAAGTCCATCACCTCAAACATTTACCATTTCTTTGTGGTGAGAACATTCAAAATTATCTCTTCTTGCTATTTTGAAATGTACAAGAAAGTTTTTTGTGCCATGCAATTTGACCATTCTAGGCATTTAAATTCTCATTTATATAAAATTTGATACCTGAAAAGGAGGATGTTAGCATTATTAACTTATCTTCTTGACAAAATAGGTAATGTTTCTAATGTTATGCCTTTGGTTTTTGTTCAGGGCAAATATTGTACATAATAAAATGAAAAACAGTACATACAACAAATGTCTTTAGTAATTTGTTAATTAAAGAAATGTTGGTATCACTTGAACACTTGATGTCCTGTTATTAGATGATGGTTTATTACTATACTGAGAGGATCTTCCCAACTAAATTAAAAGTTTAATCACAATCATGCTAGACCTTTTTATATCTGCATCCTCCACATTAGAATGTCTGTCATTTTTATCATTTCAGTGTATTATTTATATTTTTCTTATTTTTTATAAATAAAATTGTATTCTCTCAAAACATTTCTATACATAAAGGTTCACTTTTTAAAATGCTACAAATTTGAACATAGTTTGAAAAAATGCATGGTGTCATGTATCCTCCATTATAGCATCATACAGAATGGTTTCACTGCCTTAAAATGCCCTCTACTTTATTTATTCAATGCTTCCTTTTTCCCCCTAAACTGCTGCTAAGCACTGATCTTTTTACTCTCTATAGTTTTGTTTTTTTTTCATTATGGTGGAAATCATGTAGTATATAACCTTTTCAGACTATTTTCTTTTACTTAATTATATGCATTTTTAGTTTAATACTTTTTGTGGCT
The DNA here is from genome assembly GCF_000001405.40 of Homo sapiens. Lineage (NCBI taxonomy): Eukaryota > Metazoa > Chordata > Mammalia > Primates > Hominidae > Homo > Homo sapiens. The sequence continues at coordinate 4,072,075 of NC_000024.10, forward strand.
TTCTAATCAATTTATTTTTATCACTGAGTAATATTTTATTATATTGATGTATCACTGTTTATCAATTCACCCATTGAAGAACAATTTGGTTGCTTCCAGTTATTGGTGATTATAAATAAATTTTCTGTAGACATTTGAACGCAAGTTTTTGTGTCGACACAGTTTTCAAATAAGTTGGATGAAAACCTAAGAGCACACTTGTTGGTTTGTTTAGCTGTGTGAGAAATTGCCAAACTGTCTGCAAAAGTGGCGATACTATCTGTAAAAGTTGCCTTCCACCCAGCCGTGAATGAAAATTCCTATTGTTTCACATCCTCATCAGTATTAGATATTTTTTTTTAGATTTAACCATTGTAATAGGTGTGTAGTGACATTTAACTCTTGTTTAATTTGTAATTTCTCAATGAAAACTTCTGTTGAACATCTTCTCAAAAACTGGACTCATATAGAAATTTTAAGATCTTCCTTTCAAAGTGATATTTGGAAAACAATAGATTCAATCATGAAGTCAGCTAGTCACTAGGTCTAGAACTGTACATATATCCTCCTTATTCCTGAGACTGCAGCTTCTTTTTAATGTACATTTCAGGTTTTTGGAAGTGATGTGAAACAACCTATTTTCCCAGTTTATTTTTTAGTGGGAGAGGTTGGTACCTCCCCTAAGGACCAGCTTCAAGCAGTGCTAATGGCCCTAGTTCATCTTCTGGTGTGGGACAATTTTAGCCCCTTTATCCCAATTGAGCTTAGATCTAGTCTATCATGGCCTGTCTTCTGATAGAATATCAACAGTCCTGTGGCTTTAGCTCCATTTTCTGCTTTGAGTTTGTTTTCATTTTTTTCCTTGTCTACAGACTTTTTATTTGTTTAAACGCAGTTATATATTTTTGAATACTTACATATTGAACATACATTTTATATATATATATATAATATATATAATTGCTATGTGTTTATATCATGTGAGGACATAGTGTAATATGGACCCTATGATGCCCACTTCTATGTTTGTTCCTTTGTTAATCCTCTCCCCACTGACTGTTGCCAGAAACTGTGGACTGCTTCTTTCCAATAGAACAGGAAAGGTGATGGGATATCATGTTTGTGATAATGTTACATAAGATTGTATCCTGTCTTCTAGGAGACTCTCACCATTGTTGGTTTGAGGAAGCAAGCTGCCCTGTTGGGAGCTGCCCTGTGGTAAGAAACTGAAGGCAGTCTCTGGCTGGTCACCAGCAAAAATCTGTAGCTCTTAGTCTGGCAGCCTGCAAGGAACTAAATGCTCTCGACAATTATGTATGTGAGCCTGGAGGTGTATTCTGCTGTAGTCAAATCTTAGGGCCTTAGATGAGAGTCCACCCTGACTTACACTTTGATTGCAGCTTTGAAGAGAACTCAGCTAAGCCATGTCAGGACTCTGGAACAACAGAAACTGTGAACAATTAAACATCAGACACAATTTTTTAATGTGCCTGTAAGCTTACATACGTGTTGTGTTGTGTGTGCTGGTGGAGAGGTATTACTGGTGTCTTTAACTTCACACCACACAGGTACCTTCTCATTTCACCATCCAGTATTAATAAATAATGGGTTTTCACTCAGCACATTTATCTTCCCTGATTTATTACCCTTCATAGCAATTATCCATATCTGAAAGACTGCCTATATTGTTAGTTCCCGTATTTATTGCCTATCTCCCGAAAACCGGAATATAACTTATATGAGCAAAGGGATTTTTGACTGTCTTTGTCTGATCCCTAAATAGTATTTGCCCTATACTAGACACAACACAAGTGATATTTTGCACAAATAAGGAATGTATATTACCCCAAAGGGAGAATTACTGAAAATTAGTAAATTGACATTCAATGGCATTTTTTTGCCATAAAAACAAAAAGAAGAGTATATTGCTGATATCTTATTGAAAGCAAATAATGTGTAGGCCAAAATATCATTATGTTTATGATTTCACCATAGTACTATGGACACTGGGCTGTGTTTTATGATGGAGAAACACATATAAAGTAATTGTTAAGAGTTAGACCTCTGGAACTGGTAAACTCAATGGGAATTTTAATTCCCATTTACCAGACTTTGAAGTATTTAATCTGTCTAATCTTAGTAGCATCATCTATAACATGGTGATGAAAATAGAGGCTATACCATACAGCAACTGATAATATTAAATGAGATGATACAAGGTAAGGATTCAGTATGGTGCCTAGAATATAGTTAAGTACTCCATAAATGGTTGATCTTACTAGTACTGTGAAATATCTCATTACTTACCAGTCAGTAGATGCAGTTTAATATTTTGCTTAATTATATTGGTTCAGGCATCAAACACACCTGGGTTTGCATCTCAACTCCACCTTATACCAGCTTTGTGACTTTGGGCATATTATTTGACTTTTAGGAGCACTGCTGTGAAACTGGCATACAATACCTTCTTTTTTTTAATTTAAAATAATTTACTTTAGAATTTGTAGTTAATTATATTTAACCTAGATAAAATTTACCTGGACACATTTTTTTTTTATTTTACTGTAAGTTCTGTGATACATATGCTGAACGTGCAGGTTTGTTACGTAAGTATACCTGTGCCGTGGTGGTTTGCAGCACCTATCAACCCATCATCTAGGTTTTAAGCTCCACATGCATTAAGTATTTGTCCTAATGCTCTCCCTCCCCTTTCCCCCAACCCCCCAACAGTCCCCATTGTGTGACGTTCCCCTCCCTGCATCCATGTGTTCTCACTGATCAGCTCCCACTTATGAGTGAGAACATGTGGTGTTTGGTTTTCCGTTCCTATGTTAGTTTGCTGAGGATGATGGTTTCCAACTTCACCCATGTACCTGAAAAGGACATAAACTTATTCTTTACCATGGATGCATAGTATTCCATGGTGTATATGTGCCACATTTTCTTTATCCAGTCCATCACTGATGGGCATTTTGGTTGGTTCCAAGTCTTTGTTATTGTAAATAGTGCTGTAAAATAAACACACCTGTGCATGTGTCTTTATAGTAGAATGAGTAATAATCCTTTGGGTATATACTCAGTAATGGGATTGCTGGGTCAAATGGTATTTCTGGTTCTATATCCTTGAGGGATCACCACACTGTCTTCCACAATGGTTAAAGTATTTACACTCCCATCCACAGTGTAAAAGTGTTCCTATTTCTCCGCATACTCGCCAGCATCTGTTGTTTCCAGACTTTTTAATGATCACCATTCTAACTGGCGTGACATGGTATCTTCATTTTGGTTTTGATTTGCATTTCTTTAATGACCAGTGATGGTGAGCTTTTTTTTTTCATTTGTTTGTTAGCTGCATAAATGCCTTATTTTGAGAAGAGTCTGTCCATATCCTTTGCCCACTTTTTGGTGGGGTTGCGTGTTTTTTTCTTGTAAATTTGTTTAAGTTCCTTGTAGATGCTGGATATTAGACCATTGTCAGATGGATAGATTGCACAAATTTTCTCCCATTCTTTAGATTGAGTGTGCTCTCTGAGATAGTTTATTTTGCTGAGCAGAAGCTCTTTAGTTTAATTAGATCCCATTTGTCAATTTTGCCTTTTATTGCAATTGGTTTTGGCAATTTAGTCATGAAATCTTTGTCCATGCCTAAGTCCTGAATAGTATTGCCTAGGTTTTCTTCTAGGGTTTTTATAGTTTTAGGTTTTACATTTAAGTTTTTGATCCATCTTGAGTTAATTTCTGTATAAGGTGTAAGGAAGGGGTCCAGTTTCTGTTTTCTGCATATGGCTAGCCCGTTTTCCCAGCACCATTTATTAAATAGGGAATCCTTTCCCCATTGCTTATTTTTGTCAGGTTTGTCAAAGATCAGGTGGTTGTAGATATGTTGTGTTATTTCGGAGGCCTCTGTTCTGTTCAATTGGTCTATATATCTGTTTTGATACCAGTACCATGCTGCTTTGATTACTGTAACCTTGTAGTATAGTTTGAAGTCAGGTAGCTTGATGCCTCCAGCTTTGTTGTTTTGCTTAGGATTGTCTTGGCTACACAGGCTCTTTTTCGATTCCATATGAAATTTAAAGTAGTTTTTTCTGGTTCTGTGAAGAAAGTAAATAGTAGCTTGATGGGGATGGCATTGAATCTATAAATTTATTTGGGCAGTATGGCCATTTTCACGATATTGATTCTTCCCATCCATGAGCATGGAATGTTTCTACTTCATAATGTTTGATGTAAGAATTGCTTGAGATAAGTGTCTATTTATCACAATACCTAGGACATAGTAACCACACAATAAATTATTTATTAATACTGAATGGTGGAATGGGAAGGTATCTATATTATGTGAAATCAAAGACACACATCATATCTCTCCTTCACCAGCCCCCTCACTGTGCAAACAACACAATATAACAACATATAAACAGACAGACACATGAAAATGTTTTGTCTCAGAAGTATTCTTAAGGCATGACAAATTGAAGACTTTCCCTGTGCCGTGGGAGGACATAATCTCACCCTGTAGTAGATTCTCAGTAGTTCCTGGTATAGGGTGAGAGATAAGGGGGTACTACTATATGCTGGTGCCAAAGAGGATGTAAGATGTGCATACAATAGGATATAAAATACTTTTACTTCTATAAGCCATATATAAATATCAAATCAGCACCATGGGGGTGATGTAGCATGTATGGGGCTGTCTAGTAACAACTGACTTGTATAACATTATTAAAACAGGAAAGAGGGTAATATATGGAGCACCATACCCTGATCAGGGCATCTTTCTCTGAATGTTTCTGCAGACTCTGACTCTGGTTTCTGGAGGGATAATCAGTAAAATTTTTGGTGGGAGTTAAATGTAGCTTTTTTCCTGCAGACATCTTTTCAACTGCAAATATACTTGGACATGACTAAGTGACAAGTTAGCCATCACTCACTGTAAATGAGTTTATGGGAAAGCAGTAAAGGAGAGGGGAAATATTGATGTGGAAAATAGCTTTTTAAAAATTCACATCATGAATTCTACACTGTAAGTTTATGTCATTTCTTCTTTATGAAATTTCTGTATTTGATTATAACACTTACTTCAAAACTGATTGTACCTTAAAATCATCATAAATGTGTTTGAGGGTATCATTGTCTCTTCAACACTCACTCCTGAAAACTTGTATACTTAATGAATATTCACATAACAGAGTTTTTATATAGTTAGATGCCTGCTTACTCTAAGAGAAATAAAACAGACTTTCTGGCCGTTACCTTATTGAGCCAGTGATCAAACACACAACCACACAAAATATACATATAAAGAGTTTCCCTTAGGACACAGGAGCCCATATTAATGGATTCAGTACTTTTATGTTAAGTTAATCCTTGGCATCTATCATCAGTTGAGTATTATTAAAAAGTATCAAGCAGCATACATCTGTGGAATCATTTATTCTGTTACCACCCTGAAGAAGGCAGTGAGCTGATACACTGCTGCTACTATATTGGCAATAATAGACAATGATTATTATTTTCTTAGTTCACAGGAAATTACAAATTCAGGTACATTTTAAAAGAGAACCTACTGCTATATACAAACTCCAAGTAGCAATATAACTCATTTTTCCCTATTTTTCAAAGTCTCAGGGCAATGCAAAAATGCATAATCAAGGTTTTTCCCATGCTAGTGGCAAAGATATTTTAAGTGCAGAATGAAACCTAAAGATTTCTTAGGTTTATTCATTATGTACAACATTTATAGTCAAGGTAAACTTCATTACTTCTTAATTAAGAGTAAGTGAAAAAAATCATGATTTTAAGAAGAACATTTATGAGTGCAACATTGAGTTAATATTGATTAGTGAGAATCATCCTTATGTTGATGTCACCATTGAGGAATATGTTCCTTAAACAGCTTATACCAATATAAGGTCATCAAAGTTGGATTTAATTCTGGTGTTGTGCTTGGCAAAGCAGACATCTGCCTACACAGTAAGATTAAGGAGAGTTAGAAAGAAAAGCAGCCTACATTCATGCCCCAAATAATTCTTATTCCTATTAGAAAAGTATCTGAAATACAACTATTAGTGTCCTAAAACATGTGTTTAAGTCACTCAGTCATCAGTTTAAATATAAAATTTCAGTAAAAAATATAGCACACATGTTGGGGCATAGTCATTTAGAGTCCATTGACCAAATCCCTGTCCCAAAAATAAATATAACATAATAAAGAAAATCCAAAATAAAAACAAAAAATGACCTGTGTATTTCTTGGTTTTATCCCAAATGGCTACGTGGGTGAAATTTGTTATTTTTTTAAATAAATAGAATTTATAAAAATGTACATTTTTGTCCCCTGGGGTTCTTTTATTCTTATTAATCAATCTTCTGTTATGCTTTCCATAAGAAATATCTTACATTTAAGTCTTAGTTGAGAACCATAAAGATACGATCCCAGCAGAGCCAAATAAATGTTAAGAAGGTACAATTATGAATGAAGCTGGCTGCATGTGAGATACTAGGGAGTGATAAGATACATATAATAAACTTGGGAACATGATATGTCTAAAGACATTCAAATAAAGTTTTTTTAAAGACATAGGATGTGGCACACCAAATATATCTGCAGGAGGTGCCTAGTTGAAACCACTGCCCATTGTTCATCCACACTCACAGCTTGATTTGTCTATTAATATGAAGGAATGCAGCTCCTTAAGATTCAACACAGAATGGGCACAGAGTACATTGTCCTAGCCACCACCGAGCCCAATTAACAAATGGTCCCTGGACATTGCTATGAGGTGTTCTTTTCTGAGTATTTTTAACATCGGATCTTACAAAATCTTTCTACTTATCTCACGTAGACACAGTAATTGTTTTCTCAATGCTTCTAGAATGCATTGTGTGTTTCTCTGTTATGGCACTTGTCATCTGGTGCTATAATAGTTTGTTGGCAAGTTTTTTCCTTCACTGGACCATAAGCACCTCAAGAGCAAAGTCTAGGGCTTATCTTATTGTGAAAGCCCATTACTCAGTATTTTGTTGGCCCTCGTATGCGCATATTTGTCTCCCACAAACATTGCATTTTTTGAAGTCGTTTTTCTTTTTTCTTTTTCTTTTAGAATATAGGTGAGAAGAGAGAAGAATGGTAGATAAATACTGGGGTTAGAGTAGTTTAGTTTTGAACATTTTTACATCTGCTTTAAAAATTAAAGCATAGTAAGATGTGTACAATTTTATTACACCTTTAGTTAAAGTTCTAAAGGGAAGATGGTGGGGGGCGGGATGCAGTATTGTAAAATACTTTACATGCACATGAATAATTTACATTTCCTTTAAGGCAACTTGTTTAAGTTAAGGTATTTAGAAAGATTAACTTCTAGGGCTATTTGCTATTTTTGTGGGGTCACAGAAATTTCAGGGTCAGGTCATGGAGGAGAGTTATTATTGAGAAATGTGATTTTATAAATCCATCTAAAGTTGATCAGTTTTGTTGGAAAGTATTTGCAATAATCAAATTTGCTATATTATTATAATAAAACACAGAACATCAATTTCTTAGATTGGGAAATACTCCTCATATCAATAACTAATACTCCTTGATGTAGCAGCTTCCTCTTGGACATACAAACAAAGAGGATGTGGCAAATTTTAGATTAAAAGACTTTATTGTATTGTTATTACATTTTTGTCAGCTTAGAATTACTACAAAGGTGGTTGATCATTTCTTAGAAATATTCTCGCTATAGCTTTATGAATTGCTGTTTTCCACCAGGGTTATATATGTTTAAAGAACAAAGATCTAGAATCAATGTTCTAACTCTGAGAAGCAGAACTGAAGATGCAGAGGCATATTTATGTTATTAAAAACATAACATAAAAAAAGATTGAAAATCTTTTTCAGTCAAGAAAAAGATTCTGGTATAGCACTGTTACTTCATCAAAAATAGATAACAATGAATTTGATTTCAGTAAAATGTGTATCAGTTACGTGTTAGAGTGGCATATTTCTGATGGTGCAGTATGTTGCTTGAAAAGATTTACATGAGTAACTTATCGAACACATCTCATATCTCTCAATAGGGTACTCATTTCAGAGGCAAAAGTACTCTGGTCTTGTACCTATATTCAAGAGTTAATCTTTGTTCTAATTTTACTGCCCCTGTGTTTAATGTTATGTTTAATTATGCTTAATATTTAAAAGACAATTTACTAAGCATTCATTTTAAAACTCTTTCTGAAGTATAGCCCCTTTAAAGCAAGACAATAGTTTCCATTCTGAAAAAGGACATATTTTGTTTACAGACTGTGAGAAACACAGAGATTGGCTTTGTATATAAACTCAGGGAATCACTGAGCCAGGATAACAGAGCTGTTGGAGCTGAAAACTGCAGCAGTAAATTTATACTTTAGAATGCACAAAATCATTCTCCAGAATTGAGAAGAGAAAAAAGAATTGACTTTGACACTTTATAACATTTGGTAGTGATTCTTTGTATTTGGGTAAGACTTTTTTTTATCATGTTCTTAAAACCCTTTCAGTTTATGAACTCCTTAGATCTTTATAGCTTTTATTAAATTGTATATGTACAATTCATATATATAAATGAAACTCTTAATGAAAAGCAAAGCTTTAAAACAATTGTTAGCACTGAATCTTAGATTATATTTTTCTTCTTACTAGTTTTAACTTACTAGTTTTATCTACCATTTTCAGTAATATATTTTACGTTATAGTCATATTTATTTTTACCGGAGAGTGCAGTTTTCTCAAATCACGACTATTTGGTTGCCTTTGCATTTCTTCTTTCATGAGCAGTGCAAGATCAGAGATAAGCAGTTCCACACACGTTTGTGTCTTTTCACTATATCAACATTTATTGATGCTATTTCAATCACAAAAGCCACCAGCTACATGGAGTTCCCAAGGAGGCAAATTTCCTTAGTACTTCCCATTCACTTGGTAATGAGACCTTGGGTACACAGGCACAAGACACTCCACAAGCCAGTCAATATTGCCAATCATACATAATAGTATACTTAATCGGGCCGGGCGCGGTGGCTCATACCTGAAATCCCAGAACTTTGGGAGGCTGAGGCGGGCGGATCACGAGGTCGGGAGATCGAGACCATCCTGGCTAACACGGTGAAACCCCGTCTCCACTAAAAATACAAAAAATTAGCCGGGCGTGGTGGTGGACGCCTGTAGTCCCAGCTACTCGGGAGGCTGAGGCAGGAGAATGGCGTGAACCCAGGAGGTGGAGCTTGCAGTGAGCCGAGATGGCGCCACTGCACTGCAGCCTGGGTGACAAAGCGAGTCTCCGTCTCAAAAAAAAAAAAAAAAAAAAGGTATACTTAATCAATATATAAAGTCATAGATTAAACATTTCATAAAGAAATAAAGAAATATTTAACATCAAGAGAAAAGAAATAGAAAAAGGTGTTAATACACTAGTCCATGCAAAGCAACAAAGACAAAAATAATCTGGTGGTCTGGGCCCAGTGGTCTATTGGAAGAATCCCTGTGTGGGCAGAGAGTTTGGTAATAGATGCTAAGTGCTTATTGGGGTTGATAGTTACATGATGTCAGTTAAGATGGCTATTTAGAACTGCTCAAGCCTTGCTCTTTGTATAGCCAGAGTCCTCTGGCAAAAACTGACAGTGGAGGAATGCGCTTGTTTATGTATGTCTTTACCTGATTGGATGCAGTCTTTATTTTTTTATTTCTTTATTAAGCAAAATATATTTTCCCTGTTGGCAAAGTGCCCTATGAAATGCAAGATGGAGACGTTTTCTAATATGGAGTTACTTATGTCAAGGGTGCTCTCTCTCCTCTTTAGAACCGTAAATTAGACATATAAATATGTGGCTAGTCCTCTCTTTCTAAATAACAATGCCTAAATAGAAAATAATAATTAAAGTGAACATAGATGCAGACTAACAATTTCATGTTTAATGAAAGAGTATTTCCAAAATAAGATAAACAAATAGCTGTCATAAACTACCCATTACTGTCTACAATACGTCCAAAGTACCTATTATCACCACCATTTAAAAACACTGTTCTCAATTTTGTAGTCACTGAAAACTGGAAATAAAAATAACCAAAATATGTGAAGATAAGAAGGGAGAAGCACCACAATTATTATAATATATACCTACTACGAATCCAGAAAATGTAGAAATTCAATTAAAATAACTCACAGCAGGAAGTTTTCTTAACTCACTTCCACTTAACCAATGAGCCACATTACTGACTACCCTCCATTCTCACTGTAGATTATACTGACTGAAACATAAGTTGTTTTTAGTGAAATCTGTGCTGAATTTTTGGAAAAACTTATGGGGGCAAGTCTTTAAAATATGATATTGAATTAGGGGAAGTTGTAGTGATTATAAATAATTGAGGAAAGTTTCTAAAAATGTTCATAAATTCTATGCATTGGTTGCAGGGTTGTGCATAAGGTTTACCTAAAATGATATTTATCACAGCGTTATTTATTTTAATTATTTAAATAATGGTATATTTTAAAAATATAGAAAACTAGAAAACATATAAGAGAAACCTATGTATCTCTCAAATAAAAAATAGATATCAATAATTTCCATGTTTGCTTTGAATAATTAAAAAAAACAAATAAACATGGTTGAAAATTACCCTCACTTACCTACTTTCCTTTCTGTTTACCAAGGGCAACTAGTCAACCAAATTCAGTATTTATAATTCCCATGCACGTTTTACTTTACTTTTATTACATATGTATATATCCAGAAACATTATACAGTACTGACGTGTGGGCTTAAAATGTAACAGAAAATGACACCAAACTATAACTCACCTCTCCAACTGGCTTTTTAAACTCTAGATTACATTTCTGAGACTTAACTATGTGAGTTAACTAGTTGTAAGTAATGTGCAGAATTGCATTATAATCATATACCAAAATTTATCCATTTTCCTGATGATGATCATATAAGTTAATTCCAATTTTTCTGTATTATGAAAAATGAATATAGTTGAGGTTCCCTCTGCCTGAAAAATATTTTCTGTTGCACAATGGTTAGCTAACTTAATCACCACTGAGGAAGCGGAGCCAGATGGTTAAATATAAAGCTCCACTGATAGAAAACTTCCTGCTTTGAGTAGGCATGTGACCTACTGAAACACCAGCTGAGGCAGCCAAGGGAGTGCTGGCATGACCTCCCTGCTAACCCCAGGCTGCATAGCTTGTGGCTCCAAAAGAGATCCCTTCTTCTGCTTGAGGAGAGGACAAAGAAGAGTGCAGAGGACTTCGTGTTGCATTTTGGATACCAGCCCAACCACGACAGGATAAGGCACCCATCATGAGGCCTCCATTTCAGGCCATAGCTTTGGGACATTTCCAGACATATCCTGAGCCAGAAGGGAACCCACTGCCTTGAAGAAAAGAAACTCATCCTGCCAGCATTCATCACCCACTAACTGAAGAGCCCCTGGGCCCTGAAAAACCAGCAGCAATACCCAGGTAGTACATTGAGGGCCTTGATGAGCTTCTAAGACTTGCTGGCTTCAGGTGAGACTAACACATTACCAGCAGTGGTGTCCAAACTCCTGCTTGAGGAAAGCAGAGGAAAATATAAAGGGGACCTTGTCTTGCATCTTAGGTATCAACTGCCACAAGGGTGTGGAGCACCAAGCGGGCTCTTGGGGTCCCTGATCCCAGGACTTGACTCTTGGATGGCATGTCTAGACCTTCCAAAGGCAAGAGGGGAGCCCATTGCCCTGAAGGGTGAGTGCAAGACCAGGCAGTCTTGCACAAGTGGACTTAAGAGACCTTGGGCCTTAATGGAACATCAGTGATAGTCTGGCAGCACTTCTTGTGACCAGGGGTGGCTGTGGCTATGAGGTAAGTTTCCTCTGCCTTTGGAAAAGGGAGGGAAAAGTGAAATAAACTGCATCTTGTGATTTGAGTATCAGCTCAACACCAGGTAGACTTCTAAGATTTTTAACTCTAGTCCCTGATACTTGGATGATACTTCTGGACTCACCTGGGGAAAAGGTAACTTACTGCCTTGAAGGGAAAGACATAGGTCTGGCTGGCATTGCTACCTGCTGATTGTAGAGCTCCAGGACTTTTACTGACATTGGCAGTGGCCAGGGAGTGGTTAAAGCAGGCCTTAGGCAAGACTCAGTGCTGTGCTGGCTTCAAGACTGACCCAGCACAGTCGTAATGGTGGTGGCCACAAGGGTGCTTCTGTAACTCCACCCCAGCTTTAGGTGGTGAGAGAGAGAGAGAGAGAGAGAGAGAGAGAGAGAGAGAGACTGTATGCTTGGGAGAAAGTAAGAAAAGAGTCTCTGTTTGATAATGCAGAGAATTTTCCTGGATCTTGCCCAAGGATATCAAGGTGATACTTCTGTGAGTCTAAAAGAACCACAGCATTGCTGGCCTTGGGGTTTCTCCTAAAGCAGAAACAGCTTAGATCACAACATCCAAGTCTTCTCAATATCTGGAAAGCCTTCACAAGAAGGATGGCTACGAATAAGCCCAGACAGTTAAGACTGCAATAAATACCTAACTCTTCAATGCTCAGACACCAAAGAACATCTACTAGCATCAACACCAACCAGGAAAACATGACCATGTCAAATGAGCTACATAAGGCACCAAGGACCAATTCTGGAGAAATAGAGATATGACCTTTCGGACAGAAAATTCAAAATGGCTGTGTTGAGGAAATTCAGATAAATTCAAGATAACATAGATAAGAAATTAAGAATTATATAAGATAAATTTAACAAAAGAGATTGAAATCATTAAAAAAATTCAACAAAAATTCTGGAGCTGGAAAAGGAAATTGGCATACTGAAGAATGCATGAGTGTGAATTGCTGGCAGAACTGATCAGACAGGAGAAAGAAATAGTGAGTTTGAATATAGGCTACATGAAAATACACAGTCAAAGGAGATAGAAAAAAAAAAGAATAAAAACCAAGAAAGCACACCTACAGAATCTAGAAAATAGCCTCAAAAGGGCCAGTCTAAGAGTTATTGGCCTTAAAGAGGAGGCAGAGAAAGAGAGGGGTAGGAGAGATGAAAAAAGTTGTGGATAGGAGGCGGGACTAAATTGCAGCTCTCACTTGGATGGACAGAGCACCATGGGAAGACTTGCACTGTGAACTTTTGCTCTAAGAAGTACTTCAGGAATAAACCAGGAAAGCCGAGGGAATCCACAGACCCTTTGAAGGAAGTGGATTGCTCCTGCAGGACATGGGAGACAGCCCAAATATTGTGAGTGCCCAAAATGTGAAAGTGGAAAAGGGGGACTATCCACCCCTGAACACACACCCTCACTGGGGAACCTGAATGTCCAGATCACGGGAGAAGGATTTGACCTTACCTGGAACTGAGAAAATTTAGAGAGCTGAGTGAAATACAGGGGTAGAGGAAGCAGTGGGAAAAGCCCTGTGGGCTCTGTGGGTCCCCAGGGAAGCCATTTTTGACTTGTCTCATAGGGGTCCTTGGGGAGGGCTGCCAGAGGAACTGGAAAAAGAACACAAGGAGAAGGAAACCTCCAGTTGAACTTTGTAACAATTCCAACCAAGGGTGAAGATTCCTGGCCAGAACTTGGGGAAGAGCATGAATCTGGTTTGCAGACTCAACAGGTGGAGAGGTGCAAAAGCCCTGTTTGCTTTCTTAGCTGGGAGGCTGATAGCCTAGAGCAAGTTCTCAGCCCTGCTCATCCACTGCTGGGAACAAACTTGGTGCTATTGGGATGGCATGGAGGGAGTGACACCAGCCTTTTGGGTTGCACAGGAGCTGAGTGAGGCCTGTAACTGCTGGCATTCCCCAACTTCCCTGAAAACCTGCATGAAACAGCAGAGGCAGCCATAATCATTTTGGGAACATAACTACATTGACCTGGAAACAACAACCCCATCCCCACGCAGCTGCAGCAAGGAGAGTCTAAGCTCAGATAGGCCTTACACTGCCTCCACCTTATGGTCTTTCCCTACCTGCCCTGGTAGCTGAAGACAAAGGTCATATTCTCTTGGGAATGCTAGGGCCCCACCCACCACCTGACCCTCCTGTATACTACCACATCTGATGCTCTCTTGAAAGCACCAACTCCAGGAAGGAGACCAACTAGCACAAAACTAATGCATTAAACAACTACAACTAAGGACTCTCACAGAGTCCATTTTACTCCCCTGCCACCTCCACTGGAGCAGGTGCTGGTATCCATGGCTGAGAGACCTGAAGATGGTTCACATCACAAAACTCTATGCAGACACCCCACAAGACCAGCCCAGGGCCTGGTAGGCCTGCTGGGTGGCTAGATCAATAAGAGAAATAACAATCACTACAGCACAGATCTAAGTAAGCCACATTTATAGAAAAAGGGAAATAGTGCTACATCAAGGATACACCCCATGGCCAAAAAAGAATCTGAACAGCAGCCTTGAGCCCCAGATCTTCCCTCTGAGTTAGCCTACCTAAATGAGAAGAAACCAGAAAAACAATCCTGCTAATAAGACAAAACAGGGTTCTTTAACACCCCCCAAAAAATCACACTAGGGCAGCAGCAATGGATTCAAACCAGGAAGAGATCCCTGAATTACAAGAAAAAGAATTCAGGTCAATTATTAAGCTAATCAAGGAGGTACCAGATAAACTTTAAGTTCAATTTAAAGAAATCAAAACAATGATACAATATATGAGTGCAGAAACCTTCAGTGAAATAGATAGCTTAAATAAAAAACAAGTGCAACTTCAGGAAATAAAGGACACACTTAGATAAATGCAAAGGGTTCTAGAAGGTCTTAGCAATAGAGTCAAACAAGCAGAAGAAAGAACTTCAGAGCTCAAAGACAAGGTTTGAGAAATAACCCAACCCAACAAAGACAAATGAAAAATAATTTTAAGAAAATGAACAAAGGCTCCAAGGAGTTTGAGATTATGTTTAATGACTAAATGCCAGTTATAAGAATAACTGGCACTCTTGAGGAAGAAAAGAAATCTAAAAGTTTGGAAAATATATTTGGGGAAATAATTGAGGAAAACTTTCCTGACCTCTCTAGAGATCTAGATATCCAAATACAGGAAACTCAAAGAAAATTCATCACAAAAAAATAATCACCTAGGCACATAGTCATCAGGTTATCTAAACTCAACATGAAGAAAGCATCTTAAGAGTTGTGAGGCAAAGGCACCATGTAGCCTACAAAGAAAAACCTATCAGATTAACAGCATATTTCTCAGCAGAAACCCTACAAGCTAAAAGGAATTGGTGCCCTATTTTCAGCCCCCTTAAACAAAACAATTATCAGCCAAGAATTTTCTATCCAGTGAAATGAAGCTTGATAAATGAAAGATACAGTTTTTCTCAGACAAACAAATGCTGAGAGAATTCACCACTACCAAGCCAGCACTATAAGAACTACTAAAAGGAGCTCTAAATCTTGAAACAAATCCTGAAAACACATAGAAGCAGTACCTCTTTAAAGCATGAGTCTCACAGGACCTATAAAACAAAAATAAGAAAAATAAATAAATTAATTTAAAAAAACAAGATGTTCAGGCAATAAATAGCACAATGAATGGAATTGTAACGTTGAATATAAATAGCCTAAATGCGCCACTTAAAAGATAAAGAATAGCAGAATGGATAACAATTCACCAACCAAGGGTCTGCTGCCTTCAAAAGACTCACCTAACACATAGGGACTCATATAAACTTAAGGTAAAGGAGTGGAAAAAGACATTTTATGCAAATAGACACCCAAAACAAGCAGTAGTAGCTATTCTTCTATCAGACATAACAAACTTTTTTTTAAAAAAAGCAATTTAAAAAGACAAAGAGGGACTTTATATAATGATAAATAGCTTTGTCCAACATGAAAATATCACAATTCTAAATATATACGCACCTAACACTGGAGATCTCAAATTTATAAAACAATTACTAATAGACCTAAGAAATGAGATGGACAGCAACACAATAATAGTGGAGGATTTTAATACTCCAGTGACAGCACTAGACAAGTCATCAAAACAGAAAGTCAACAAAGAAAATATGAATTTAAACTATACCCAAGAACAAATGGACTTAACAGGTATTTACAGAACATTTTACATAACAACTGCAGAATAAACATTCTGTTCATCAGTGCATGGAAATTTATCCAAGATAGACCATATGACAGTCCACAAAACAAGTCTCAATAGAACTTTAAAAAATAAAGTTTTATCAAGTACTCTCTCAGACCACAGTGGAAAAAAATTGGAAATCAACTCCAAAAGGAAACTTCAAAACCATGCAAGTACATAGAAATTAAATAAACTGTTCCTGAATGATTATTGGGTAAACAATGAAATCAAGATGAAAATTTAAAAAACGTACTTGAACTGAATGATAATGGTGATGCAACCTGTCAAAACCACTGAGATAGGACAAAGGTAGTGCTAAGAGGAAAGTCCATAGCCTTAAATGCCTACATCAAAAAGTCCAAAAGAGCACAAATAGATAGTCTAAGGTCAAATCTCAAGGAACTGGAGAAATAAGAACAAACCAAACCCAAATTCACCAGAAGAAAATAAGTAATCAAGAACAGAGCAGAACTAAATGAAATTGAAACACACACACACACACACACACACTCACACAAATACAAAAGATAAATGAAACAAAAAGCTGTTTCTTTTTAAAGATAAATAAAATTGACAGAACATTCACAAGGTTAACCAAGAAAAGAAGAAACAAGATGCAAATAAGTTCAATTAAAAATGAAATGGGAGATATTACAACTGACACAACAGAAATATAAAAGGTCATTTAATGATATTATGAACACATAGTTTATGTGCGTAAATTACAAAACCTAGAGACTATGGATAAATTCCTGGAAATATACAACCATCCTAGCTTAAATAAGGAATAATTAGAAATCCTGAAGAGACTAATAAGAAGCAGTAAGATTAAAATGCATATAAAAAATTACCAACAAAAAAGGTCCATGACCAGACAGATTCACAGCTGAATTCAATCAGACATTCAAAGAGGAATTGGTACCAATTTTACTCACACTATTCTACAAGACAGAGGAAAAGGAAATCCTCTCTAAATGAATCTATGAATCCAGTATCACCATAATACCAAAACCAGAAAAGAACATAACAAAAAAAGAAAACTACAGACCAATATCCTTGATGAACATAGATGCAAAAATCCTTAACAAAAAATAGCTAATGAAATTCAACAGCATGTCAAAAAGATAATCCAGTCAAGCATGGTGGTCCATGCCTGTAATCCAGCACTTTGAGAGGCCAAAGCAGGTGGATCATTTGAGGTCAGGGTTTCGAGACCAGCCTGGCCAACATGGTGAAGCCTCATCTCTACTAAAAGTACAAAAAGTAGCTGGGCATAGTGGTGCACACCTGTAATCCCAGCTACTCAGGACACTGAGGCATGAGAATTGCTTGAGCCCAGGAGGCAGAGGTTGCAATGAGCCAAGATCATGCCACTGTACTCCAGACTGGGTGAAAGAGTGAGACTCCATCTAAAAAAAAAAAATAAATAAAATAAAATAAAATAAAATAAAATAAAATAAAGATAATGTATCATAATCAAGTTGGTTTCATTCCAGGGAGGCAGGGATGCAGGGATGGTTTAACATATGCAAGTTAATGAATGTGATACACCATATTAACAGAATTAAAAACAAAAATCATATAATGGTCTCAATAAATGCAGAAAAAGCATTTGACAAAATCCAGCATCACTTTATAATTAAATTCATCAGCAAAATTGGCATACAAGAGACATAATTCTATGTAATAAAAGCCATTGGAGAGGCACAGTAGCTCACGCCTGTAATCTCAGCACTTTGGGAAGCCGAGGTGGGCAGATCACAAGGTCAAGGGATCAAGACCATCCTGGCCAACATGGTGAAACCCTGTCTCTACTAAAAAAAAATAATACTAATAAATTAGCTGGGCGTGGTGGCGTGTGCCTGTAGTCCCAGCTACTCAGGAGGCTGAGGCAGAAGAATCACTTGAAACTGGGAGGCAGAGGTTGCAGTGAGCTGAGATTGCGCCACTGCACTCTAGCCTGGTGACAGAGCAAGACTCCATCTCGATAAATAAATAAATAATAAAAGCCATCTATGACAAACCCACAGGCAACATAATATTGAATGGGGAAAATGTTGAAAGCATTCTCCCTGAGATCTAGAACAAGGCAAGGATGCCCACTTTCATCAAATTTATCTGGCATAGTACTGGAAGTTCTAGCCAAACCAATCAGATAAGAGGAAGAAATAAAGGGTATTTGAATGGGTAAACAGGAAGTCAAACTGTCACTGTTTGCTGACGATATGATTGTATACCTATAAAACCCTGAAGATTCCTCCAAAAATCTCTTAGAACTAATAAATGAATTCAGCAGTTTCAGGATAAAAAATTAATGTACACAATTCAGTAGTTTTTCTATACATCAACAGAGACCAAGCTGAGAATCAAATCACGAACTAAAACCCTTTTACAATAGCTGTGAAAAAAATAAAACACTTAAAATTATACCTAACCAAGGAGGTAAAAGACATCTACAAATAAAATTTCAAAACACTCCTGAAATAAATCATAGATGACAGAAAAAATTGAAAACATATTTTGTTCTCATAGATGAGTAGAATCAATATTGTGAAATGGCCATACTGCCAAAAGCAATCTACACATTCAATGCAATTCCCATGAAAGTACCAACATTATTCCTCACAGAGCTAGAAAAAACAATCCCAACATTCATATGGAACCAAAAAAGAGCCCACATAGGCAAAGCAAGACTAAGCAAAGAGAACAAGTCCGAAGGCATCACATTACCTGACTTCAAACTATACTATGAAGCTATAGTCACCAAAACAGCATGGTACTGGTATAAAATTTGGCACAGACCAATGGAACAAAATAGAAAACCCAGAAATAAACTGAAATACTTACAGCCACCTGATCCTTGACAAAGCACACGAAAACATAAATTGGGGAAATGACACCCCATTCAACAAATCTTGCTGGGATATTTGGCAAGCCACATGTAGGAGAATGAAACCAGATTCTCATCTCTTACTTTACACAAAAGTCAACCCAAGATGGATCAAGGATTTAAATCTAAGACCTAAAACTATAAAAATTCTAGAAGATAACATAAGAAAAACCATTTTAGACATTGGCTTAGACAAAGAATTCATGACCAAGAACTCAAAAGAAAATGCAACATAAACAAAGATAACTAGGTTGGACTTCACTAAAGAGCTTCTGCACAGCAAAAGGAACTTCCAGCAGAGTAAACAGCCCTCAGAGTGAGAGAAAATCTTCACAACCTATACATTCAACAAAAGACTAATATCCAGAATCTACAAGGAACTCAAACAAATTAGCAACAAAAAATCTAACAATCCCTTCAAAAAGTGGGTTAAACACATGCATAGACAATTCCCAAAATAAAACATACTAAATGGCCAACAAGCATGTGATAAAATGCTCAACATCACTAATGATCAGGAGCAAGCAAATCAAAACCACAATGCTATACCACCTTACACCTGTAAGAATGGCCATTATCAAAAAATTTAAAAAAATAATAGATCTTGGCATGGATGCAGGAAAAGAGGAGCACTTCTACACTGCTGGTGGAAATGTAAACTAGTACAACCACTATGGAAAACAGTGTGGAGATTTCTTAAAAAACTAAAAGTAGAACTACCATTTTATCCAGCAATCCCATGACTGGGTATCTACCCAGAGGAAAAGAAGTCATTATATTAAAAAGATACTTGCACACATATGTTTATAGCAGCACAAGTCACAATTGCAAAAATATGAAACCAGCCCAATTGCCCATCAATGAATGAGTGGATAAAGAAATTTTGGCATGTATGTATGATGGAGTAATACTCAAGTCATAAAAAAGAATGGATTAATGGCATTTACAACAACCTGCATGGAACTGGAGATTATTATTCTAAGTAAAGTAACTCAGAAATGGAAAACCAAACATTGTATGTTCTCACTTATAAGTGGAAGCTAACCTGTGGGGATACAAAGTCATAAGAATGATACAATGGACTTTAGGGACTTGAGGGAAAGGGTGGGAGGAGGGTGAGGCATAATATACTACAAATTGTGTTGTGTATACTGCTCAGGTGATAGGTGCAGCAAAATCTCACAAATCACCACCAAAGAATTTACTCATGTAGTCAAACACCATCTGCTTTCCAAAAACCTATAAAAAGTATATATATGTGTGTGTGTGTGTGTGTGTGTGTGTGTGTGTAGTAAAACAAAAACAAAACACTAAAAAAGTCTTATGTAATATACCGAGTTCAGAAAAAAAAAGACCTGATTAAGGAATAAAGGACTATTTAAGCCATTAAAAAAAAAGAAAAGAAAGAAACCGATGGGTAGAAAGTTTATTGAAAGGGATAATAACAGAGAACTTTCCAAACTTACAGAAATATATCAATATGCATGTAAGAGAAGCTTATAGATCTGGCAGCAGACTTTTATTGAAAACCTCAAAGGCCAGGAGAGATTAGAATAACATGCTTAACGTGCTGAAGGGGAAAAATGTATTTTACCTTAAAATATTATATCTAGTGAAAATATCCATCAAACCTGATGGAGAACTAAAGACTTTCCCAAGCAAACAAAAGCTGAGAGACTTCATCAATACCAGAACCATCCTTCAAGAGATGCTAAATGGAGTAGTTTAATCAGAAAAAAAGGACATTAATGAGCAATAAATAATCACCTGAATGTACAAAACTTACTGGTAAAAGTAAGTACACAGAAAAACACAAACTATTATAACACTGTAACTGTGGTGTGTAAACTGTTCTTATCTGAAGTAGAAAGACTAAATGATAAACCAATCAAAAATAATAATTACAACAGCTTTTCAAAACATAGTCAATATAATAATAAAAAATAGAAATAACAGAAAGTTAAAAAGCCAAGGGACAAAGTTAAGGTGAGTTTTTGTTATTTTTCTCTTTGTTTGTTTATGCATTTAGTAGTAAGTTGTTATGAGGTTAAAATATTGACTCGTATTTGCAATCCTCATGGTAGCCAAAAAACAAAAACAAAAAAATACGGTAAATACACAAAACAAAAGCAAGAAAATAAATCATATCAGAGAAAATCATTTCCACTAGAAGACAGGAATAAAGGAAAAAGTGAAGAGAAAAACAACCAGAAAACATTAAAATGGCAGAAGTAATAACATTGAATGTAAATGGACTAAACTCTCCAATCAAAAGACAGAGACTGACTGAATGAATTAAAAAAAAGACTCATTGACCTCTTGCAGACAAAAAACACATTTTGCCTATAAAGACACACATAGATAGATAATAAAGGAATAGAAAAAGACATCTAATGCCAATGGAAACCAAAAAAGAGCAGGAGTCACTATACTTACATTAGACAAAATAAATTTTGAGAGAATAACTATAAGAACAGACACAGAAGGTAACTAATGATAAAGAGGTCAATTTAGCAAGATAATATAACAATTTTAAATACATATGCACCCAACACTGGAGCACCGAGATACATAAAGGAAATATTATTAGAGCTAGAGAGATAGGCCATAATACAATAATAGATAGTGACATCAACACCCCACTTTTCACATTAGCCAGATCCTCCACACTGAAAATCAACAAACGTTAGTATTAATCTGCACTGTAGAACAAATGTATTTAATAGGTATTTACAGAATACTTCATCCAAGAGCTGCAGAATACACATTATTTTCCTCAGCATATGAATTATTCTCAAAAGTAGATCATATATTATGTCCCCAAAAAATCTTAAAACTTTCAAAAAAATTGAAATTATATCAAGCATCTTCTCTGAACATAATGGGATAAAACTAGAGAAGAATAACAGGAGAAATTTTGGAAATTTTACAAATGCCTAGAAATTAAACACTATACTTCTGAATGACCAGTGGGCCAGTGAAGATATTAAGAAGAAAATAGAAACTCTTCTTGAAACAAATAATAATGCAAACACAACATACTAAAACTTATGGAATATAGCAAAAGCAATACTGAGAAGGAAATTTATAGCTATAACTGTCTACATCTAAACAGAGAAAAGCCTTCAAATAATAAGTGTAATAATGCATCTTAAAGAACTAGAAAAGCAAGATGAAAGCACACCCAAAATTAGCAGGAAAAAAAGGAAATTATAAAGATTGAAGCAGAAATAAAATTGGAATGAAAAAATACAAAATGTTAATGAAACAAAAAGTTGTGGGTTTTTTGGAAATTTACACAAAATTGAAAACCTGTAGCCACACAAAGACAAAAAAGATAAAAAAAAAATCAGAAATGAAAGAGGAGAGAGTATAAATGTTACTGTAGACATTCAAAGGATCATTATTGGCTACTAGAAGAAACTATATGCCAATAAATTGGAAAATCTAGAATAAATGGACAAATTTCCAGACACACACATCACACCAAGGTTAAATTAAGAAACCCAGTATCTGAACAGACCAGTAACAAGTAACTACATTGAAGCTGTAATAAAACTCTGCCAGTAATGAAAATCCTAGGACCTGATTTTTATCAAACTGCTGAATTTTATCAAACATTTAGAGAACTAATACCAATCCTACTTAAACTATTCCAAAAAATAGAGGAGAAGGGAATACTTTCAAACTCATTCTATGAGGCCAGTGTTACCCTGATATGAAAACCAGAAAAAGACACATTTTAAAAGGAAAATGACAGGCCAATATTTCTGATGTATATTGATGCAAAAATACTCAACAAAATACTAGCAAAGCAAATTCAACAATACGTTAGAAAGATCATTCATCATGACCAAGTGAGATTTATCTCAGGGATGTAAGGATGGTTCAACATATACAAATCAATAAATGTAATACATATCAACAGAATGAAGGATAAATCTATATGATAATTTCAATTGATGTTGAGAAAGCATTGGATAAAATTCAAAATCCTTTCGTAATAAAAACTCTAAAAAAACTGGGGATGTAAGGAACGTAACTCAACATAATGAAAATCATATATGACAGATTCACAGGTAGTATTATACTTAATGAGGAAAAACTAAAAAACTTTCATATAAGATCTGAAACAAGACAAGAATGTCCATTGTCACCATTGTTATTTTACATAGTGCTGGAAGTTCTAGCTAGAGCAAACATACACAAGAAATATATAAAGGACATCCAAATTGGAAATGAGCAAGTCAAATTTCTTTGTTTTCAGATGATATTATATATGGAAAATTCTGAAGATTCCACAAGAAAACTACTAGAAGTGATAAACACATTCAGTAAAGTTTCAGGATACAAAATCAATGTACAAAACTTGGTAGTATTTCTATATGTCAACAGTGAACAATGTGAAAAAGAAATTTAAAAAGTAATCCCATTTAAAATAAGCACACATAAAATTAAATACCTAGGAATTAATATAACCAAACAAGTGAAAGATTGTAACTAAAACTATAAAACTGATGAAAGAAATTGAAGAGGTCACCAAAAAAATGGAGAGATATTCCCTGTTCACGAGTTGAAAGAATCAATCAATATTGTTAAAATGTCCATACTCTATAGATTCAATGCAATCCCTACCAAAATGCCAATGACTTTCTCACAGAAATAGAGAAAAAAAAAAACAATTCTAAGATTTATATGGAACCACAAAACACCCAGAAGAACCAAAGGTTTCCTGAGCAAAAAAAAAAAAAAAAAAAAAAGAATCACATTACTTGACTTGAAATTATAATGCAAAGCTGTAGTAACCAAAATAGCAAAATAGTACTGGCAAAAAAAACAAAAACAAAAACAAAAACAAAACACATAGACCAATACAATAGAACAGAGAACCCAGGAACAAATTCAAACACCTACAGTGAACTCATTTTCAAGAAAGATGCCAAGACATACACTGGGGGAAAAGAGAGTATCTTAATAAATGGCCCTGAAGAAACTGCATATCCATATGCAGAAGAATAAAACTAGACCTCTATATCTTTTTGATTTAACAAAAATTAAATCAAAATGGATTGAAAACATAAATCGAAGACCTCAAATGATGAAGTTACTTCAGAAGAACATTGGGGAATATCTCCAGGACGTTGATCTGAGCAAATTTTCTTGAGCAATACTCCACAAACACAAACCAACAAAGCAAAAGTGAACAAATGGGATCATGTCAAGTGAAAGGGCTTCTGCACAGCAAAGGATACAATCAACAAAATGAAGAGACAACCAAGATAATAGGGGAAAGTATTTGCAAATTACACATCTAACAAGGGATGAATAACCAGAATATATAAGAAACTCAAACAACTCTATAGAAAAAAACTAATAATGTGATCAAAAAGTGGGCAAAAGATTTAAATAGTTATTTCTAAAAAGAAGACACACAAATGACAAGCAGGCATTTGAAAAGGTTCTCAACATCATTGATCATCAGAGAAATGCAAATCAAATATACAATGAGATATCATCTCTCCCCAAGTAAAATTGCTTATATCCAAAACAGGCAATAAAAACCGCTGGAGAAGATAGAGAGAAAGGAAACCCTTGTATACTGTTAGTGGGAATGTAAATTAGTACAACCACTATGGAGAACAGTTTAGAGGTTTCTCAAAAAACTAAAAATTGAGCTAACATATGTTCCAGAAATCTCATTTCTGGATACATATGCAAAAGAAAGGAAATCAGTATATCAAAAAGATATCTGCACTCCTATTTTTGTTGCAGCACTGTTTACAATAGCGAAGATTTGGAAGCAACCTGTGTCCATCAAGAGATAAATGGATAAAGAAAATGTGGCATATATACATACAATGCAGTACTTATTCAGCCATAAAAAAGAATGAGATCCAGTCATTTGTGAAACATGGGTGGAAGTGGAGATTATTATGTTAACTGAAATAAGGCAGGCACAGAAAAACATATATTGCATGTTCTCACTTATTTCTATAATTATAAATCAAAACAATTGAACTTGCGAATGTAGAGAGTAGAAGAATGGTTACTAGAGGCTGGTAAGAGTAGTGGGGGCCTGTTAGGGGAGGTGGAGATGGTTAATAGTACAAAACAAAACAGAAAGAATATATGAGCCCTACTATTTGATAGCGCAACAACGTGACCATAGTCAATAATAAATGAACTTTGCATTTTAAAATAATTTAAAAGAGTGTCATTGGATTGATCTCAACTGAATGGATAAATGCTTGAGAGGATGGATATCCAATTCTTTATGATCTGCTTATATCACATTATATGTCTGACATGATATGATATATCAAAATAACTCATCTGCCCCATACATGTATACATGTACTATGCAACCACAAAAATTAAAAATTAAAAAATTAAAAAATATACAAAAATAATCACCACTGAATAACTTTTTTTGTTTTAGACCCTTTTTTTTTATTGCTAGTGTTTTTTACATCTGTTATATAAAATTATTTATTTGTTTAATATTTTATTTTATTTTATTTTATTTTTGAGACGGAGTCTCAGTCTTTCACCCAGGCTGGAGTACAGTGGTGCAATCTCGGCTCACTGAAACCTCTGTTTCCTGGGTTCAAGAGATTCTCCTGCCTCAGCTTCCTGAGTAGCTGAGATTACAGGCGCCTGCCACCACGCCCAGTTAATGTTGAGTAGAGACAGGGTTTCACCATGTAGGCCAGGCTGGTCTTGAACTCCTGACCTCAGATGATCCACCCGCCTTGGACTCCCAAAGTGGTGGGATTACAGGCATGATTGACCGCACCTGGCTGTGTTTAGCTTTTTAAATATGTCTTCCCTTTTGAATGTAATCTGCATTGTATGTGACTAGCAGAGTTTTTGGCATATAAAAGGCTCTATATATTTGTTGCTCATGACTTAGCTAAAATATTATTACCTCGAGTGATAATATTTTAAATTTCTCACACACTCTCAATATAAAATTATATGATTTATAGTTTTATTTTCTATTTATTACCACTTGAAAGTACCTTCCATGAGGGAAGGTACATTGTAGTAGTTAATATTTTTGTATGATCAAATAAGTAAATTATTTTTATGAAGGAATGCATGCATGTATGAGCATGTCCTAGGGAAAATAGTAGGTACTATATGTTATCCTATAAAATATGTTTTAAGCCTTCTATATTGTCTCTGATTTATTCTGTTTGGCCTTTAAATTCATTATAATCAAACTTAATAATAGTTTCCTAAAATAAACCTTTTTGACAATAATTTTTATAATAAGAGTTTTAGTTCTTCAGCATATAGATTCCACACTACTATCTATTGCATTCTGCATTTCAAAGCTTCTGTGCGGCAACAATCACTGCCCTTTATTTGCCACCTTCCTTTCTCCGCCATATCCTAGGTAATTTGTATCCAAGTCTGATATTATCATTATATGCCATTTTTTTCTATTTAAGGGTTGCTCAACATTAAATCCTGCTTCTGTTAGTCTATTTATCCTTTCCTTCTCCTACTTATATTGTTGATGACATGGACTACTTTCAAGAGTTTTTACTTACACATAATTGAAATTCATTTGGCCCTTACAAACAACTAAAAAAGTTCTAAATTTTACTGTACAAGTATTATGTACTCTGTTTACTAATGAAAAAATTAAGAACCCATCCTCCAAAATTATTTCAATGTCACACATCCCATGAGAATTCAAGAACATTCATATCTCCACTTAAGGGCAATTATCAATATACATAATTTCATAATGCTTTGCATCAGTTAAACTGGACTAAAAGTCTTGAAAGTTGGAAGTTATGCTGGGAATTGCAGGCCCTTTTAGTTCAGGAAGATATTTCATGTTGTGGAGCTTTTGATATTCCTCATATTGAGAGGTGACAGCGTGCTGGCAGTCCTCAGAGCCCTCCCTTGCTCTCGGCACCTCCCCTGCCTGGGCTCCCACTTTGGCGGCATTTGAGGAGCCCCTCAGCCCCCACTGCACTGTGGGAGCCCCTTTCTGGGCTGGCCAAGGCCAGAGCCCACTCCCTCAGCTTGCAGGGAGGTGTGGAGGGAGAGGCGCGAGTGGGAACCGGGGCTGCGTGCGGTGCTTGCGTGCCAGCTGGAGTTCCGGGTGGGCATGGACTTTGTGGGCCCCGCACTCGGAGCAGCCAGCCAGCCCTGCTGGCCCCGGGCAGTGGGGAACTTAGCACCCGGGCCAGTGGCTGCGGAGGGTGTACTGGGTCCCCCAGCAGTGCCAGCCCACCGGCGCTGCGCTCGATTTCTCACCGGGCCTTAGCTGCCTTCCCGCGGGGCAGGGCTCGGGACCTGCAGCCCGCCATGCCTGAGCCTCCCACCCACTCCATGAGCTCCTGTGCGGCCAGAGCCTCCCCGACGAGCACCACCCCCTGCTCCACGGCACCCAGTCCCATCGACCACCCAAGGGCTGAGCAATGCGAGCGCACGGCACGGGACTGGCAGGCAGCTCCACCTGCAGCCCCGGTGCGGGATCCACTGGGTGAAGCTAGCTGGGCTCCTGAGTCTGGTGGAGACGTGGAGAGTCTTTATATT
This sequence comes from Homo sapiens, assembly GCF_000001405.40. NCBI lineage: Eukaryota > Metazoa > Chordata > Mammalia > Primates > Hominidae > Homo > Homo sapiens. Next base: position 4,099,614 of record NC_000024.10, read on the forward strand.
TAGCTCAGGGATTGTAAATATACCAATCAGCACCCTGTGTTTAGCTCAAGGTTTGTGAGTGCACCAATTGACACTCTGTATCTAGCTGCTCTGGTGGGGCCTTGGAGAACCTTTGTGTGGAAACTCTGTATCTAACTAATCTGATGGGGATGTGGAGAACCTTTGTATCTAGCTCAGGGATTGTAAACGCACCAATCAGCACCCTGACAAAACAGGCCAGTCGGCTCTACCAATCAGCAGGATGTGGGTGGGGCCAGATAAGAGAATAAAAGCAGGCTGCCCGAGCCAACCTTGGCAACGTGAAGGGTTGTTCTTTCGCTTTTTGCCATAAATGTTGCTACTGCTCACTCTTTGGGTCCACGCTGCTTTTAGGAGCTGTAACACTCACCGCGAAAATCTACAGCTTCACTCCTGAGCCCAGCGAGACCACGAGCCCACCGTCAGGAATGAACAACTCCAGACGCGCTGCCTTAAGAGCTGTAACGCTCACCGCAAAGGTCTCCAGCTTCACTGCTGAGCCAGCGAGACTATGAACCCACCAGAAGGAAAAAACTCCGAACACATCTGAACATCAGAAGGGACAGACTCCAGACGCGCCACCTTAAGAGCTGTAACTCTCACCGCGAGGGTCCGCGGCTTCATTCTTGAAGTCAGTGAGACCAAGAGCCCACCAATTCTGGACACAATATATTTTGGTATTCCTCATATTTGGTGGATTAGAAAATAAGACTAGCCTTTTATAAATGATATGCCTGAAGATTTGTTTTAGGATTTAAATGGTTTCTGGGCACTTTGAGGAAGGTTGGAAACTGTAGAAAAATTTGTCTTTCTTCTAGTTCTTGGCAATAAGTCTCTTTCTCTAAGGAGAAGTTACTTAAAATATTTTGTGCTGTACACCTCTTTGGAATTTGGCTAAATCTCATGGAACTCTTATGAGAATAATGTTTTTGTGAAAGAAAAATAAATTTGGGGATCTAAAAATCACTAAGCTAAAAAAAAAAAAAGCCAAGCTTGGAACTGCTTAGGGCAAACCTGCTTCACGTTTTGTTCAAAGTTACCCCTCTGCTCACTGAGGTAAATGTGTATTTGATTACCTCCTTTGGAGAGGCTGATCAGAAACCGTCCCAAAGTGCAATCATTTGTCTCTTGTCTACCTATGACCTAGAAGCCCCGTCCCCATTTCAAGTTTCCTGACTTTACTTCAAGTTGTCCTGCCTTTCCAGACCAAACTAAAAAGTTTGTCTAAAAATGTTCATCTTACATATGTTGATTGATGTCTCATTTCTCCCTAAAGTATATAAAACGAAACTGCTCTGATCACCTTGGGAATATGTTGTCAGGACATCCTGAGGCTGTGTCATGGGCAAACATCCTCAACCTTGGGAAAATAAACTTTCTAAATTAACTGAGACCTGCCTCAGATATTCAGAGTTCACATTTTGGTAACCATAAGGGATTCTCAGTGGAGTTGCCTCTGACCTTTGTCATATCTCCTGTTGGTGCTTGGTACCAGCATGAGTTAAATTTATGGCTCAAACCAATAGGACAATTTGCTGAGGTCTGTGAGCACCCCCTCCAGAGAATCCCTTATCTCCCCAAATTTGGTCAACATCTAACATTTATTTTGCTCTACAACTCCTGTTTTTTTTTGAGCTTTACTTGCATGCAACAAGGAAGACAAGATTTCCTGCTTCCGTGATAATCAAAAGCAGGTAAATCCTTTATATAGTTTGAGCTCACTCCCAGCAGGGAAGATGAGTTTGAGTTTTTCCTGCTTCTAGGATGAGAGAGAGCAGTCTTCAGCCTGAGACCCATCCTTAGGTAATTAGCTCAATTAGGGTTTTGTCTTGGCTAAAGTTTAACAACCAGCCCAGCTTAACTTCTTCCTACCATTAGAGCACTCAGTGATTATACTGTTGGGTTTTTTGTTGTTGTTGTTTGTTCCAGTCTTTCTCCCATTGGATTTGACCAACTCTTCCCGACTAGGTCAGATTCAAGTGAGAATTCCAAATTATGGGTAACAAAGCCTCTCTAATTTGGCTAAAATGTCTCACAGCTGCAAAATAGGGAAAACAACTCCAAAAAATAAAACAAAACAAAAACCCCATGGACTTGGTTTCTGTGTTTTCTTCCTGTCTTAAAAAAAAAAGTTATTTTATTTACTTTTCTTTCAGCCTATACCTCTTTTCTCCTTTGCATCTGCAGTACCAAAAAATCTAGAGAAAGTTTGTAATGACTGGAACCCCTTTAAAAAATTCAGAACAAAGACACCACTCATTCCTTTTGGGTGTTCTGTTTTCCTTGTGGAGTTTCAAGAGTCATGGACACATTCTTCTTAGGGCGAAAGCTGTTTTTCTGTGTTGCATGACCTTACCTCTTTGGCTTTGGGGGTACCAGAGATGACTTTGTACTGTGAGAAGATTTGATCTTGGCCTGTGTAATGGCAGATGAGAGCTACAAAGTTAGGGGTAGCTGAGCATAGTATACAGGAATTGGTCTCGGCTATTTTTTTATTTTAATTTTAGGAAGGTGTAGTTAAAAGATCCTAATTCTAGTTCAGAGATGAATTCTATAAGGTCTTCTCTATTGCTTTTTCTCCCAAAATTCATCTTGATTTGACTTGTCTGCTCATTTGCATGATAAAGTGAACTGCTCTTTTTATAGGCAAATGACAGACTGAGTTTTCTCAGCTCCAGAAAGAAAGAGCAGTTTGCTCTTTCTAGCTTAAAGGTATCCCTGGGTGACGAGGGCCTTGTGAGAGTGTCTGGAAGTTGACCTGCTGTGACATGCAGCAGCCCTACAGAAAAATCCCCAACAAAAATTAATTGAAAAAAAAAAAAGGCTTATCCAGGGAATGCATGTAAGTGCTGGTCACCTGTTGTTTTGAGCCCTCTCAGAGGTCATATATCTCTGGAGAGAGACACTGAGACATATTTTAAGAGGGTAAAAATGACTCAGTGGTGACATAATGTGGAGTCCTGCACACAAGCAGCACACATCTACCCACCAGAAAAAAACCCTAGGCCACAGCTCAGTTCCTTCTTTTAAGAAAAAGAAGTGGGAAACTATCTAAGAATGAGGAGAAAGCAAAGTGAATGACCCCCTTGTGAGCACTCTAGGTTTTATGGCACCTCTACTTGCCAGAGCTTATGTGAAATGGAAGTAATATGTTCTTTATGCACATTTACATTAAGGAAAACGAGCCCTAAGGATGACCTGCAAACTACAGAGTTCCCAAGTCCTCTTTTTCTCTTTTTTTTTTTCCTTCTTGCTTTAAAACTGCTATTTTTCTATTAAGATAAAAACTGCTGTTTGGATTTAACAGGTTTTCTTTTTTTTTTTTTTTTTCATGCTGATGAATTTGTATTTACCTCATGGCTACAGTTCTGAAGTAAAAGTTATAGGATCTTTGTATGTGTGTGTATATGATGTGTGTATATATTTAAGAGGCATTTATAATTTCTATAATTTTATGTTCAATTGTCAATTAAGTCCATTTTAATTTCCCTCGAGCACACCAAACTTTTTCACTCTGTACCTTAGGATGTAAATTTTGCTATTTGATTCTCACCTTAGTTATTTCCTTTAATATGCGAATTTAAGGCTATTCAGCTGAAAATTGTCTAAGATTTTGAAACTGTTTATCAAAAATTTAAAAGTCTAAGATAGGGAAAAAAATTTTATGAATCTATAAGATGTACTTCTATTGGTATGCCTAATATGTCTATGTATATATGTGTTTTGTACCCAATGTTTTATTACTGAAAATATATAAAGAGCTCTAATTAATTAATTGGCTTAAAATAAAAGTGGTTGAATCAAATACTTTGTCAGGAAAAAAGAAAATACTAGTCGGATGCTTTTTCGAGTTTATGTAACAAGTAAAATCTTTAAGAAATAAGCTAGGTTTAAAATTATTGTTAAAGTAATATTAGAAATGTCTTAATGGCTAGCATACAATTTTGTTTGCATTTTTTAATCAAGCATTTTTATACTTATCTCTGCCAAATACTATAAGGTGTTAAAATTTGAAATACGGGTTAAAAAGAATGATTTTTGCTTGTGCAATCTTTAATAAATAATACATTGATATTGGTTTAATGAAAACAGCTGCATCTTGAATTTAATAAGATTACTATAACTTCTAATTCTGTGGCTTTAGGCGGTCTAGTCCACAGGCAGTAAGGTTTGTTTTTGGAATGGACTGTTATCATCTTTGTTTCAAAGCTAAAATATATAATAAGTTTCTTCCAAAGTTAGTTTGGCCTATGATCATGAATGAACAAGGACAGCTTGAAGGTTGGAAGCCAGATGTCTCAGTTATAATTTTGCAATGGCAGTTTCATAAGTTCAGCTTTCATTAATAATTTAGATAAACAATTAAAATAAAATAATTAGATAAATGTAATAAGATAAATACTTGTAGACAAACTGATCATAATTTAGAATCAAAAGCTACATTAAATTAAATGAGAGATATTTCATTGTGTATTTTCCAATAACATTTGTAGAAAAATATTTTTTTCTAAAAAAACTGTGTCTCTTTAGAAAAGTGAGCAATTTTTTTTCGAATTTAAAGCTTATTTTAAGATTATGAAGTAAGGTAAAAGGAACCAGGAGACAGCAGAGATATAAGAAAGTTATAAAAATAGAGAGATAGGGTTTTTTTTCTTTTGATAAGAAAGCTTAAAGAGAAATAATTTTATATGAGAAAGAAATCTTGTATGGTAAATTTAGTATTAGAATAATATGACTGGATGTTTAAGAAAGAGAGATGTTCAGGACAAACCAGAAATTCCAAGCATGCATGAACAGTCTCTGTAACTCAAAATAGGAGGATTTATATAAAAAATTTAAAATCTTTCATATAGTCAGGTTGTCTATGATTAAAGAGTAATTATAATAGTCTTTCTAGTGATTGGGCTTGATGTAAAAAAAACACTTATACACAAAATAATTGGTTAGAACAATAAAATTTTCTTAAGGGATTGATTTATTTGTAATAAATTATGAGAAATTTAATTGTTTGAACTCAAAGTTCAACTTTTATTGTATCTCACCATTTTCAGTTTTCTCTCCCCTTTTAAAGGGTGAGAAATCGTAACACTCTCCAACTAATTTTTCAGCTCATATAAGTTTTTTCCTCAAGTTCCTTTTCTTGTGGCCTGATGCTAACAATATTTTCTTAAAGGTATGAAGAAAATATTTTTTTCCAGCATAATATTATGTGCAGTGCAGAAGGTCTTTTCTTTTGCCTTTTGGTAACTGGCCTAATAGATTTTACAATTTATTGAAAAAAGTCCTATGTCATTATTATTAAGTTTTGCTTTGCTTAGGAAAAACAACTGAGATTAAAATTTTTTTAAATAAAATTACAGTTATTACATCCATTTATTTTTCTTTGTGGGCTTTTAAAGTCCTTGTGACACTGAGTTACAATGCTTTGACTCCTGGGTCTAAAAAAGATATCAAGTCCTGCGGAATCCTAAACACTGACAGCAATTGAAGCCTTGTCATCAGGGCTGGTAGAAGATGTTGATCAAAATAAACTGCATTTCTGAGACACAAGGCCAGAAATTAAAGCTATTCAACTCCTCAAGTTCCAAGGAGTATCATGGAAGGGGTGGGCATGTGAGATTGTAAGGGCTTGTTTTGAGGGATAAAATAAGTTCAGTTTCTCTATAAATCAATCATGAATGTCAAAGGCACACTAATGCAAGACCAGCATATGGCCCCTGTGTCAGATTAACAAGGTTTTCTAAAAACATTAACCAATTCTTTAATAAAGGTTATAAAAGGCTTATGGAAGTTATATCTTAAGGTTAAGATTAAAATTTTATAGATTGTAAATTTTCAAAAACAAATTTAATTGGCTTTATGCTTTTTTTCATTAGGGCTTACTGTTTGGAAAATTAAGTCTCATTTCTCAAAGAATGAAAGTTTTGCCTTTTTTAAAAAACTCAAGTTATCACTTGTGAAATGATTATCTTATTTTAAAATAACCTATGATATCAAGTGTTTTAAACCTTTGATATTTGACAAACATTCCAAAACAAAATTATAAACTATGCCTTTTCTGATCTAATTAATCCTTTAAGATATTAGTTTCCCTAAAGTTCAAAAATGACATACTTTTGGCTTACTTGGTATAAAAATTATACAGGAAACATTGCCAAATACGAAATGGTGTTTGGTTTCCTTTTGGCTGTATTTGTATAAATATGTTATTGGTATGTGTTCCAAAATTATGTGAAACTCCTACAATTCTCATATGACTTAGAATTATAACAAATTTCCTTGTCAATTGTGTCTTTCTCTATGGCTGCCCTAAAACTTTTTGTCATCCATGGACAATTGTTGTCTTATTTTGGTCCTCTTTAAAGGGTGGTTATATAATCAGCTATAAAACTCTAACAGGTGCTCTCAGATGCAGGTTTCTGATAACTTTGGAGATTGTGACATCAGAATAGAATAAAAACATTGTCAAATACGAAATGGTGTTTGGTTTATTTTTGGCTGTATTTATATAAATATGTTATTGGTATGTGTTCCAAAATTATGTGAAACTCCTGTAATTCTCATATGACTTAGCATTATCAGTAATAATTATAATTATTGTGTTAAATTATTGTGTGCCTCAGACATAGTAAATGTCCTTGTCAATTGTGTCTTTCACTATGGCTGCCCTAAAACTGAAGTCTTCATGAATATCAAGCAGAACAGAAATTAACTACATGGATTGAACTAATAGAAGACTGAAGTAATGTTTTTGACTTTTTGCTTGAAATGTTGCTGATAGTTGGTTTTGTTTTTTCAGAGTCAAAAGTAACTTTTCTTTGGAGCTATTGACAGATTTTAATGATTTAGTATACTCTTATGAACAAAAGTTAGAACATACTTGTTTCACTCTACCTGACTTCTCCAAAATTTGGAAACTCTTCATGAGTATTCTTAACCTATGGCAATACAGTTATTTGCATAAGTACAGTAAGAATCTGCTTTTATTTATAACAGGCCACAATTGGAAAAACTGGTTATTTTACCAAGGCTTTGACTGAAATGGTGCATTCTCCTTTAAGGAATTGAACTTGATTTATGGAGCAAATAAAACCCCTTGGGAAAACTGGCCTCATATCTTTGTTTACACAGTTCCTGTACAGGGTTAAAGACCTGTGGTAAGTAAAGAATGTCACTTTCTGACAAGCCCAGGATCCCCCAGTTTATCTTGGAACCTCGAGAGTAGAGGAATTCACCCAAGTCATAGATATTTGACTGTACAAATCCATGGCTGGGCTTGGATTTAAAAAAGTCTTATCTGAGATTGTTCTATAGAACAAAGTTCCATCAAAGCCAATTTAAAGCCTATATAAAAATAATTATTATTGCTGCACTGTATGCAAATAAGCCTAGTATAATACAGCAAATCAGTACTACCATGATTTTTCTTTAGTAAACATGAGAAACTGGAAAGAGAAAAATTATGTTTCAAAAGCTATAGTACACCTGTTTTTAGATTCAAGTATTGCCTAATGTTTTTCAATTTTTATTACTTTCTACAGTTTGGACTGAATTTTAACTATGCTTGGCTACAAGTCTTCATAATAATGTTTTCAATTATTTCCTTCTTCTTACCCCCATTTTTCCTATTTTGGAATCACTGAAAACTAAGCTATGCTTTCTGAAAGTCCTGAAAACTGAAGCTAGACAGCTTAAACTTCAGAAGAGAATAACAGAAACCTATTTACATGCATAAACCACTTTCATGCCTTCCTACTGATGTATGGACTTCAGAGTAATGTGACCTATATTGATTTTCCAGGATTGTTCTTTTGTTTGTGGTTGTTTTTCTCCCTACCTCTTCTTCTTTTATCTCCAAAGAACATGAGACTTCCCAACCTGCTAAAAATGAGCTTTCCTAATAACTTGGGATCTACCTGTCTAGGAATAAACACACTAACTACGAGAGATCAGATATAATCTGAGTCCAGAGACTCTTTTCTTCTAAAATGCTTTCTCCGAAACGTTTTTAAAAAGAAAAGGCGGGGTGGCGGGGAGTCGGGGAGGAATGTGAAAGGAAATTAAATCTTGAGGACCCCAAATCACTAAGCTGAAGGGAAAAGTCAAAGTGGAAACTGCTTAGGGCAAACTTGCCTCCCATTCTATTCAAAGTCACCCCTATGCTCACTGAGATAAATGCATATCTGATTGCCACCTTTTGAACAGGTAATCAGAGACTCAAAAAAATGCAACATTTTTTTTTTCTTATCTACCTATGCGCTGGAAGCCCCATCTCTGATTTCAGTTTCCCTCCTTTGCTTCGAGTTGTCCTGACTTTCTGGACTGATCCAATGTTCATCTTACATATGTTGATTGATGTCTCATGTCCCCCTATAATGTATAGAACCAAACTGTGCTCTGGCTACCTTGGGCAAGTGTTGTCAGGACCTCATGAGATTGTGTCATGGGTACACATCCTTAACCTTGACGAAATAAAGTTTCTAAATTAACCAAGACCTGTCTCAGATATTTGGGTTTCACACATTAAAATAGATAAAATAAAATACACAGATTCATGAAGAAAACAAATTATGTGGGAATATAGTTACGGAAATATTTTTATGGTAATATAGTTATGGAAATAAGAATATATATTATTTGTGTTATCCCATTAATTAACAAGATATACTAGCTGACATCAATTTGGAGTTGTGATAAGTGTAAATGATATTTCATGATCTTTCATGCAGCAAGAGTAATATGATGTAAAAATACTCATGGTTTCTATGAGTAACAAAGTCATAGGACAACTAATTTTGCTGTGATTTGTTGTTTACATCCATAATAGAGGAGAATACTAATGTTCAGGTTAGTGAAGAAATACAGTTTTTTCTACAATCACATTTGCATATTCCTGAATTTCCCCAGATTAAGAGCTCCTCTTAAAAAGTTTACAGTTTGCTCCCAGAAGAACGATTCAATGTATTGCTTTTAATGGCTTTTATAGAAGATAATCTGTAGAAAAATGAAAAAGGCCACTGTGACATAACTATTGTGATATAATGTCTCTGATTTTCTATATAGTATCAGTTTGATTTCCTTGAGGATATGAAGGATCTACTAAGCAGGAAACTTGGCATTATTAATGTGAGGTAATTAAATTCTTAATCAACCTAACTTCCTTATTTCCTAGAAACACAAATTATGCCCAAGGATGCAAACACCAGGAAGCTGTCATAAAATTCTGTATTGAATTTACAGAATAAATATTCTAATTTCTGGCAAATCATATATGAATAAGTTTTTTGTTTAAGCAAAACAAAGAAATACAACAATGTTTGCATTTTTAAACAGAAACGCTAGTAAAAATTGTCAAATATTATTTAATATCCAGAGAATGTTTCCAATTAACAGTCAGTAACACTCCACTAAGCTCCCAAATCAGTCATCTTAAATTCTATAACCAGAAAACTTAGTGCATAGGAAAACCAGCACATGACACAAGGCTTACTATAGTGCCTTTATGACTTATATGTATGTTTATCTAAATTTATAAAATCTTCTTCATAAATAAAATTTATGAACTTACGGAAGATGTACATAAATTTTAACTAATTTATCCTACTTAATAGAATCCTGGTGAAATACAACAGAGGTATTACTGGCCTTCACCATGAACTGGTGACAAGGGATTAATGACAAGAACACATATGAAGCTCAAACAAGTCTACAGGAAGTAATGTAATAATCTGATCAAAATAGGCAAAAGATTTGAATTGGCTTTTTCTCAAAAGAAGACATATAAATGGCTAACATGCATATGAAAATGAAATGCAAATCAAAAGTACAATGAAATATCATTTCACCTCTGTTAAAATGGCTTACATCCAAAAGACAGGCAATAACAAATGCTGACAAGGATGTGGAGAAAAGGGAACCCTTTTACGCTGTTCTTGGGAATGTAAAGTATCACAACCATTATGGAGAACAGTTTGGAGGCTCCCCAAAAATCTAAAACTAGAGCTACCATATTATTCACCCATCCACTGCTTGGTATATACCTAAAATAAGAAAATTAATATATTGAAGAGATATCTGCACTGCCATGTTTGTTGCAACACTGTTAGCCAAAAGTTGGAAGCAACCAAAGTGTCCATCAACACATGAATGGATAGAAAATTGTAGTACTTACACACAAATGAGTAGCATTCAGCCACAAAGAAAAAGATTCTGTCACTTGCAACAACATGGACAGAACTGGAGGTCATTATACTAAGTGAAATAAGCCAGGCACAGAAAGACAAACTTTGTAAGTTCTCACTTATTTGTGGTATCTAAAAACCAAAATAATTGAACTCATAGATATAGAGAGTAGAAGGATGGTTACCAGAGGCTGGATAGCATAGTGGGGAATTGGAGAGGTTGTGGGTGATGATTAAAGGGTACAAAAAATAGTTAGAAAGAAGGAATAAGACCTATTATTTGGTAGCACAATCGGGTGACTATAGACAGTAATACAACAATAATTTAGCTGTACATTTTAAAATAACTAAAAGAGCATAATTTGTATTGTTTGTAACACAAAGGATAAATGCTTGAGTGGATGGTATCCCATTCTCCATAATGTGATTATTATGCACTGCATGCCTGTATCAAAACATCTCATATACTCCATAAATATATACAACAACAATACCCACAAAAGTTAAAAATTAAAAAAGAATATGCTGAAACAACTGATAAAAGTTCCATCAGTTGTATACATTTGTTTCAATTCTATATGCAGTAGTCCTTGATTTGGTTCACTTGAAGTGACATTTTGGTAATAGTTGAAGATTTAGTAGTTTTCTAAAGTCTTAATTTCAACTACTTTAAATATTGTAAAGGACAGATGCCTGAAGCCAAATAAGTCTCTATATTGGTACTCAATCAACGGTGTCTACTCTCTTGAGCTAATTGTATTTACCATTTCTGGAATATTTCAGATTGCCCACCAATAGATTCCCTCTGAATGTTTTCTTTATTTTTCTCTGTGTCCTTACAATCAGTCACTTTCATGTAGATAACCAGAGCTTTAGTTTGTTTCAAGAAGTTGAGACAGCTTAACTAATTAGTTATACCTGGTAGATGTAGATGTATTATACCTGATAGAAATGACTACTCATATGACATCTAGGCAGAGTGTAGGACTACTTTAAGTTAAGCTAACATTATCTATGTTGAGAAATGGGAAAAAAATCCATTAGGTCTGCTTGAGTTGTAAAGAGGCACAAGCAGTGCAGGAGATGGAAGTTGTGAGCAAGTATTGAGTGAGTGTGCACATGTCATATAGAACTGCCCTAAAGGCAGTTCAGGGAATAGAAGTGATTTCCTTGTAGAGGCCTGAATAACACAGGACAGAAAAGTGCTATTCCCCTGATATTATTTAATAACATATTAATATTTCATATTTGAGGCCGATATTTAGTGCCATTCATCAGCTTCAAAAGCAATCTATAAAGGAAACCACATAAATCAATTAAGATTTGGAGCAGAATTAAATAAAAGAGAGGTTAAATAAAGGACATTGGGAGATAAAAGGGAGAAGAAGAGTCAATGGTGGTATTTTTGTTTTGCTTTCTGCACACATTAAATGAGAATAAGTGTATTGAGGGAGCTGTGGTAGAATAAGGTTAGGCATGGCCTTGTAAAGTCTTTGTAGTAAAGTTATATTTTACACATGATTAAAAGTAGATACACAAAGAGAGTATGTGTTGGAAATCTAATTAATTTCTAAATAAGTGTATTATGTTTATTACATATAGGCTGAATTATGCTGATTTCCTATATAATTAGTCTTATTAAAGAGGTTTATTTGTTGTTGTCTTAATTTTTATGAGTAAATAACTAACATGATTCTCAACTCATGTACAGAAATGAGACTGACACTTGAAAATGCATCAATAAAAGATAACCCGTAACATTTGAAAATCATAGCTGGTGGTTCTACTAAGTGGATATAAGATAGATTTTCTTCAGAAATGTGCTCATCCCATAAATCCATAAATGAGAAAGGAAGTTTGGATTGAACAATACAGTTATTTACAAAGAATGTTGCACAAGTAGGATTGTGTTAAATTGTCAAATATTTTTCATATGGGGACTGTATTAGTCAGGGTTCTCCAGAGAAACAGAAACAACAGAATACATACATACATATATACATACATACAAGTGGGGATTTATTGTGAGAATTGGCTCCTGTGATTATGGAAGCCAAGAATTTCCTCTATGCCATCTTCAAGCTGGAGAATCAGAAAAGCCAATGGTATAATTTAGTCTGAGTCCAAACATATGAGAACCAGGGGAGCAGATAATATCACTCTCAGTCCAAGGCCAAAGGCCTGAGAACCAAGAAGAGGCAGCACTAATATGTCCCACAGTCTGAAGGTCCAAGAACCAGCAGTTTCAATGCCCAAGGGCAGCAGAAGATGGCTATTCCAGCTCAAGGAAAATTAGAGTGAACTCACTCTTCTTCTGCCTTTTTATTCTATTTGAGCCTCAGTGGACTGGATGATGCCCATTCAAATTGGTAATGGTGGATCATCTTTATTCAGCATACTCACTCAAATACCAGTCTCTTCTGGAAAAAGCTTCACAAACATACACAAAAATAATATTTTACTAGCTATCTGGATGTTCATTAAGACAGTCAAGTTGACGCATAAAATTACCCATCACAGGAACAAAGATACATTTGCTTGACAATAGGGCTGGTACATATGAGCTGTGAGGTAGTTTAAGAAGTAATTAAAATGTAGAATGCCATCTTGAACAATTTTTATTTAAAGAAAGACTGCTTTCTGAGAGAATACAGATTGTACAATTCATTATAAGAAATAAGATATTTAAGACATTTGCCAAAGATAAGGTCATAAAACAAAAATCATGTTATCATGACTAAGCCAATGCTGAAAACCAAAGAAGAAAGAGAATCTGACATAACTGAGCTAGCAGCATTTGACTAAAGGAATGTGAGAAAAAATATTGAGTATGTAAAATAATACAGAAAACAGCATAAGAGAGTTTTATCAAGACATGCTTTAAACAATGATGAAGGGAAAATAAGAGACTAACAATTAATTAATTAAGCATAAGTTATGAGAAAAAAATAGAAATGAACCAGAACCTATAGCTAAGGAAGAAAAAAGAAAAGAAAAAAAATAATTTTTGCAAGGCGAAGAAGATGAGCTGCTATTGCTTTGAAAAAAAAATGTTATTTTTAAGTTCCAAGGAAAGGAACAAGTTAAAAAGAGAAACGCATAAGCCATTAAAGAACAAGAAAACAAAACTAACTTCAGCTTTGTCTTGCACATTTCTGAGAAGGTCATCAAGTAGCAAAATCTTAGAGAAAGAGGAGTAGCATAGAACCTTGTTTTAATAGTTAAAAGAAAAACAAGATACATAAAAAATTAATAGATGTTCTTACAGATTTGTTTGCATCAAACATTAAAAGAGTATTTATGTAGTCAATAAAATTGATGTTATGCCAAAGACTGCAAAAGCAATTGTTACAAAAGCAAAAATTGACAAATGAGACCTAATTGAAGCTCTTCAGAGCTCCTGCACAGCAAAAGAAACTATCAACAGAGTAAATAGACAACCTACAGAATGAGAAAAAATATTTGCAAACTATGCATCCAACAAAGGTCTAATATCCAGAATCTATAAGTAACTTAAACAAATCAACAAGCAAAAATCAAACAATCCCATTTTTTAAAATTGGGCTGAAGATTTGAACAAACACTTCTCAAAAGAAGACATACATGTGGCCAAAAAGCATATGAAAAAATGCTCAGCATCACTAATTATTAGCAAATTGCTTATTAAAACCACAATAATTTACAATCTCACACCAGTCAGAATGGCTATTACTACAAAGTAAGAAACGAAACAAAACAAAACAAAAAAAAGATGCTGGTGAGATTGTGGAGAAAAGAGAACCCTTATACACTGCTGGCGAGAATGCAAATTAGTTCAGCCACTGTTGAAAGAAGTCTGAGGATTTCTCAACGAACTTAAACAGAACTACCATTCAATGCAGCAATCCCATTCCTGGATATATACCCGAAGGAATATAAAACTTTCTACTATAAATAAGCATGCATGTATATGTTCATTGCAGCACTACTCACAATAGCAGAGACATGGAGTTAACCTAAATACCCATCAACAGTGGCATGGATAAAAAAAAACTGTGGTACATATACACAGTGGAATCCTATGTAGCTATAAGAAAAAATAAAATCATGTCATTTGTATCAATATGAAGGGAATTGGAGGCAATTGTTCTAATCAAATTAACACAGAACCACAATATCTAATACCGCATATTTTGACTTATAAGTAGGAGCTAAATATTGAGTATATATGGACACAAAGGAAAAAACAATAGATACCGGGGCCTACTTGAGGGTGGAGGGTAGGAGGAAGGTGAGGGTCATAAGACTCCCTGTCGGGTGATGTGCTCATTACCCAAGTAGTAAAATAATCTGTACATTAAACCCTTGCAACATGCAATTAACCCATGTAATATACCTGCACAGGTACCCTCTGAACTTACAATAAAAGTTGGAGAGAAAAACAAAATTAAAAAATAAATAAAGGTGATGTTATGGGAAAAGAAAAACATATAGAGAGTAAAAGTGCAACAAATCCGTGTGTACTATAGGATCTTTGTAAAAAATATAAAGTTGATTTTTATTATTCACTGTAGTTTTGTTCTGTAAAGTTGCTGTGAACATTTAATTAGTAAATACGGATCCATTTCTCCTAGGGGAAATAAATGGGTTTCTTTGAGCGTCTGGTCACAACATATTTGTTAACAAGTCAATATATAGCATTGTTTTATGTGTGTTTTTGTTTAAAGACAGCTTATTTAATATATACTGTTGATGTATTGACATTGAACTCATGGCCAGCAGCGTTATGACTCATGCCTGAATTAAACTTTTCTAACACAGGTATTTTCTCCACGAGGCGAAAATACACATCACAGCCTTCTTGCACTTAGGAACTGTAAATGTCACCTTATTACTGTGCTTGGGGATCATTTTAGACAGTGAAATCACATATAAAAAGCACAACATTGAAAAAAAAATACGGCACTAAATCGACCGTGAACGTATGCTTGTTTACAGTAGGAGAGCTGAAACAACAAGGTAGTGTCTCATTGTTTGACCTTAGCTGAGAATATGTGCATGAAGTGATGAAATTTTTTTTCACTGCTCTGTGCATATCCTTCAATGACAGTAAAAGTGCTGTATTAATTTGGGTATAACAAGTTTTAGTTAGTAGACAAAATGGCAAATATGGAACTTACAAATAATTAAGACTGTTATCTCTATGTTTCTATATCTTTATCTCTATACTGCTATTTCAGTGTCATCTCTCTATTTATTTATCCTTTTTGAGAGAGAGAAAGGGAAGGAGAAAGAGGGAGAGACTGGAAAAACGTATTCAAAAATACTAACATTATTTTTCTTGGAGAAAAGCTTATGAGTAGTTCCCATTTTGTTTTTCTTTCCTACAACTTCTAGTTAGTCTAGAGTGAATGTGTATTGCTTTTTCTTTTTGTAAGAAATGCGGTCTTGCTATGTTGCCAAGGCTAGTCTCGAACTCCTGGCCTTGAGCAATCCTCCTGTCTTTGCCTCTCAAAGTGCTGGGATTAGTCAGGACCAAGCATTACCAGCCTTTTATTGCTTTTATAACAAGTATTCTGAGAAGTTATTTTATTTTGTAAAGAAAAGCATTATTAATTTTATAAGTAACACAATATTAAAAGAAAGTAATGAAGCTATAATTAAATTCAGATGGATAGAAGAATGCGTAATTGAAATTAGAAACAAATAGTGCACACAGAATTAAATATAGATAGGTACAGCCATAGTTTATGAGACTCTAGAGGGGAAACTAAAAGAAAAAGAAGAACAAAAGAAAATAAGAATTTAGATTCATCGCATTTGTGAAAAGAATTGGTTGCTAGTAGCTGTGTATGGGGTGTCGGTTATCATTTGAAAAACTGAAATTACAAAATGTAAGCTTATTTCTATAATTCAAGAAATGTTTATTATGATGCTTCCTGGGAAAGAGAATATTGCCATTTATGCTGGGGAACTTTGTGATATAATATAAATTAGTGTGTGTTGTTGTTTCTCTTCCTTTGGTACTGTGAATGTTGTTCTCTGTAATAGTATAAAATGGGTTTAGTCCAGATAAGAAGTTGAAGCAATAAAGCATGATTTTATTCAGACTCTTTAATGTTTTATTATTTTTAATTTAATATACTAATATTAAATATTTTATTAGCTACACTAATAAAGACAGCATGATAAGTATCAGAGTAAGTATAGACGTAAAAAACAATGGAATGGAATGTTATCGGCGTAACAATTATGACTTCACCAGAGAGAAAAACCCTTGAGATAGTCAAAGTTCTGTTATGCTTTACCTGGTTATAAACCATACTTCAACAGAGCTATAATTTGGATAGGCCGTTTAGTTTTTAATTATCAAAAATATTCAATTTATAATAGATAACTTTTTATTCATTAAAATTACTGCTTTAAATTTTACAATGATCTGATTTATAACTAATAACAAACTGAGCTTATGACTAATTTAGTGGTATTGGTAAATATAATTGAGCATCTTTATTTAAAGATAAGTTCATAACCAGTTCTTCTGATTGGTATTTTGCATTATAATTACTCAAATAACATTTAACCATTGCTTCCGTATCCTCTGCCAAGAGCTACAGTCAATGTTTCTCCCATTTTTATTTAGCACAGATGAAACGTGACACATAATCCATATTATTAATTCTAGACTGAATCCCTGGAAAATGTTACACTTGATTTCCCCCTGAAGAGTACCCAAAAGAGCCATAGTGTTCAAAGTCACACTTATGATTAATGTACTAAACATTTTACTATGTTACATGGGCTGAATATTTAGTATTATCAGTGTGCCTTCAGGAAAAAAAAAAAACCTCTTTAAAAGTGAAAATTTCAATTAATTAAACCATGAATTTTTTCTCCAACAGACCAAACCTCCTACTAAAATGTGTTTTTTATTGCAGTAAGTAAATCAAATGGTCTGACAGGAGTACTGTGGAAATTCCATTAAAATAATTACAATATTCACCGAACTCTCATTTCTTCATCCGCATTTTGAATATCTCCTTGCAATACATCTTCGGGTTGCCTATATTCAAGTTCCTGCTTGGCCCATCACAAACTAAGTAACCTTTATCGAGTTAACATCTCTGACATCTATTTCTTCATCTGCAAAATGAGAATGATAAGAGTTCTTATGTACTATGTTGTGTTCACTCCCAAATTCATGTTTGAATTTCTAATCCTCAATTAATGGTCATTGGAGAAGAGGTCTTTGGGAGATAATTAGGTTTAGGTGATGTCATGAGAGTGAGGCAAATTTGTGCCTTTATCAAAAGGGACATCAGAGAATTCTCTCTCTCTCACACACACACACAACCACCACCCCGTCTCTTTTTTCTCTCTCTACCATATGATGACAGAGAGAGAATGTAGCCAGCTGGAAGCCAGGGAGAGAGCCCTCATTAGAATCCAACCATAGTGTCATAATTATCTCATACTTCTAGTCCCCAGTATTATAATAAATTAATTTTCTGTTGCTTAGCTATCCAATTGATGATATTTTGTTATGGAAGCCTGAGCTGGCTAAAGAGTATCCAATTTTTAGGGTTGTAATGAAAATTAAATGAGAAAAAATATATAAAACACGTAGTCCTTACTTCATATATAGTAAATGCATAGTAAAGATTATTTTCTAATACTATGACTAATTATTTTTGTTATTATTACCACTTGTATTGCATATATCAGCTCAGTATGAATTTATCCACTACTTGCTGAATAATCCCTGAATGAAGAGACAATATAGTGCAATATTTGACAATGTGTGCCCTAAATCACACTTTGTTTTAATCAAGCTCACTCAGTATTTATTAGCTGAGGGATGTCAGTAAATAATTTAACCAGTCTGATGCTCAATTTTCTCATTTGTAAAATTGTGATGTTAATCCTAATTATAATATGGGATTGTTGAGAATCATGTTATTTTGAAAGAATCCAAAACATTTTTAATCAGTAATCAATCAAATAAAAAACTAGAGCCTGGCCGGGCGCAGTCGCTCACGCCTGTAATCCCAGCACTTTGGGAGGCCGAGGCGGTGGATCACGAGGTCAGGAGATCGAGACCATCCTGGCTAACATGGTGAAACCCCCGTTTCTACTAAAAAAAAATACAAAAAATTAGCCGGGCGTGGTGGCGGGTGCCCGTAGTCCCAGCTACGCGGGAGGCTGAAGCAGGAGAATGGCGTGAACACGGGAGGTGGAGCTTGCAGTGAGCAGAGATGCGCCACTGCACTCCAGCCTGGGCAGCAGAGAGAGACTCCGTCTCAAAAAATAAATAAATAAATAAATAAATAAAATAAAAATAAAAATAAAAAATAAAAAACTAGAGCCGAAATATGAGTCTTTAGGAAATCTTAAATGGGTAAAAAAAATATAAGAAAAAGTGACTCTAAAGTGCTGCGTCATCAAGATAATCTATTGAGATGTGAAAAAAAATGAGAAGTTATTATTTATCTTCATGCAAACAATCAGGAACTAAATAGCCTTTACTAATATATTCTATACTAAGTAATATTAATATTCTCACTGGTTCTGTCAGAGTAACATGTAGCACCTGATTCTCACAGCACACTGAGGGCAGAATTACAGCTCCGTGAGACAGAGGAAGTCATAAAGGCAATTTTTCCCCTTATATCATATTGTAAAATCAGTCAAATTAATTTGCCTATTTGAGTGGAGTTACCAGTTATAATACCTTGTTTTAATTAAAGGCACCCTTACAAAACAGAAAAGTGTATTTAAAACGTTGTTACAATGTAACCATGTATTGAAGATACTATATATAGAATAACAAGAAAATAGCAAGGGAATAGCAGAGCTGAAATATGTACTACTATTATGATGTTTAGTAAGCCTTGTAACAGAGAAAAATAATAATTATTTAATCGGATTTGTTATGTTCATTGATATTGTTGTCACCAGATTTGTTATTGTTATAAGAGGCATACCTCCGAGATAGTGCAGGTTGGTTTCCAGATGACCACAATGAAGTGAATATCACAATAAACGGAGTCGCACATTTTTTTGTTTCCCAGTGCACACAAATGTTTTGTTTACGCTATGCTGTAATCTATTAAGTCTGCCACAGAATTGTGTAAATAAACAACGTACATACCTTAATTTAAAAATACATTATTGCTAAAATATGCTAATGATAATTTGAGCCTTCAGCAAATCATAATCCTTTTGTTGGTGAAGAGTCTTGCTGTGATGTTGATGGCTGCTGAGTAATCAGGATATTGGTCCCTGAAGATTGGGAAGGCTGTGGCAATTTCTTAAAATAAGGCAACAATGAAGTTTGCAGCATTGATTAACTCTTTCTTTCATGGGTGATTTCTCTGTAGTAGGTGATGTCTTTTTATCTGCAATAGAGTTTCTTTTACAATTGAAGTCAATCCTCTCAAACCCTGCCATTGCTTTACCAACTAAGCCTACGTAATATTACAAATCCTTTATTGTTATTTCAGCTTTGTTGATTGCATCTTCATAAGGAATAGACTCCCTTTCAAGAAACCACTTTCTTTGCTCATCCATAGGAAACAAATACTCATTCACTCACGTATTTCGCAAGATTTCTGTAACTTAGTTATAGCTTCAGGCTCCATTATTGTAGTTATCTTAGTATTTCCACCACATCTGCAGTTACTTTTCTCACTGAAGGCCTGAATACATCAAAGTCAGCCATGAGGGATGGAATCAACTTTTTTCCAAATTCTTGTCAGTGTTCATATTTCAGCTTTCTCTGATGAATCACAAATGTTCTAGCATCTAGAATGATGAATCCTTTCTAGGAAATTTTCAATTTCCTTTGCCCAGATCTGTCAGAGGAATCGCTGTCTATGGCAGCTATAGCCTTACAAAATGTACATCTGAAATATAAAATTTGAATGTCAAAATTATACCTTGATCCATGGGCTGCAGGATGGATGTTGTATTAGTAGGCATGAAAACATGTTTAATCTACTGTATATTTCCATCAGAGCCCTTGGGTAACCAGATGCATTTCAATGAGCAGTAATATTCTGAAAGGAATCTTTTTTTTTTAGCAGTAGGTACAAACAGTGGGCTTAAATTATTCAAGAAACCATGTTGTACACAGTTGGGTTGTCATCTGGACCTTGTTGTCCCATTTACAGAGCACAGGCAGAGTCAATTTAGCATAATTCTTAAGGGTGCTAGGATTTTCATAACAGCTGGTTGTATTGCTGCATATTGCTAATATTCAATTTACGCTCATTAAGCTCACCTTAACCTCAGTGAGGTTTCAACAGAAAGTCATCAGCTGCATCAGTCCTTAATAGGAGAGATAGCCTGTCCTTTGAAGTTTTGAAGCCAGTCATTCACTTCTCCTCTCTAGCTATGAAAGACCTAGAGGATATCTTATTCGAATAGACAGTGTTTTGTGTCTGTTGAAAAATCTGGCTTTGTTTTGTTAGGGCCTTATCTGTATCTTTCTTCATATCAGCAAAAAAGCTGTTTCCCTTTTCTATCATTTATGTGTTCACTAGAATAGCACTTTTAATTTTCTTCAATGGCTTTTCTTTTGCATTCGCAACTTGGCTGTTTGGTAAAAGAGGCCTAGATTTCAGCCTGTCTTGGCTTTGGACATGCCTTCCTCACTAAGCTTAAATATTTCTGGCTTTTTATTTAAAGTAAGAGATTTGTGAATCTTCTTTTAAACTTTAATACTTAGAGGCCATTGTAGGATTATTAGTTGACCTAATTTCAATATTTTTGTGTATCAGGAAACAGGGATGCCTGAGAAGAAGGAGAGAGATGAGGGAAATTTCAGTCAACGAAGCAGTCAGAACACCTATATTTATCAATTAAGTTTGCCATTTTATATGGGTGTGGTTCATGGTACCTCCAAATAATTTAATTAGTAACATCAAAGATCACTAATCACAGATCACCATAATATATATAGTGATAATGCAAATGTTTGACATATTATCAGAATCACCAAAATGTGACCCAGAGACAGAAAGTGAGTACAGGCTATTGGAAAAATAATGCCAATAGATTTGTTGAATGCATGGTTGCCACAAACCTTCTATTTGCAAAAAACACGAGATCCATGAAGAGTAATAAAGTAAAGTGTAATAAGACAAGATATGCCTGTATATGTATGGTGCAATCACTATATGTTATTGCTACTGTTTTTGCTCATTATATTACTGCATGTTGCTAATATTTTCAATATCAGCAAAGATATTGTGTCATTGATTTTTCTCATACTTTTTCTATCTTTCAAACATTATAATATATAGTAATATATAGTAGAGTAGATCATTAGTATGAGCTAGTTATATATATACATATATACATACAGACATATATAAGACTGCTTGCTAACTTTTAAAATAATGTAATATTATGAAGTTTGATGAATATTACCTTAAAGGCCAATAATTTATCTAATCAGGATATTCCTACACAAGGTTATTTAAATCTCATACACTAATTAATTTGGAAAGATATAAAATTGATCTTTTATTAAATTGTATTTTAATGAATGCGAACTGTGATGTTGGAACACATCCTCAAATTATCTTAAAAGCTGCACAAACTTCCAGTTTCTGGTGTTGCATATAAGCATCTCAGAAGTTACCACTCCATCTGAAAATAAAAAGCTGAACAGACTGGAAGATCAGCAATTAAGAACATAGTTGAACTTAACAGTACCATCAATCAAGCAAATATAATTAATATTTATAGTGTACTTCATCCAATAGCAGCAAAATACACATTCTTCTCAAGCTCACATATAAAAGTCACCAGCAGAGGTGATATTTTAGACTATAAAATATGCCTTAATGAATTGAAAGTAATAGAAATTATACAAAGTATGCTCTCAGGCAACAATAGAACTAAACTAGATATTAATTGTAGAGAGATAACTGGAAAATTCCAAAATCTCTAGAGATTAAACAAGACAATAATATATGGGCCACAGAATAAATCTCAAGATAATTTAAAATATTTTGTACTAAATGAAAATAAATATACAACTTTTGAGAACTGTGGAATGTAGCAAAAGTGTTTTTGCATTGGAAAATTTTAGCATTTAATGCATATATTAGAAAAGAAGAAAGATCTAAAATGAACTTTCTAAGTTTACAACTTAGGAAACTAGAAAAATATGAGCAAATTAAATTCAAAGTAAGATGAAAAGAAAATTAGAATTAGAGCAGAAATATAATTAAAAACAGAAAATCAATAGAGAAAATCAATACAACTAACAGGTGGTTCTTTGAAAAAGTTAACATAATTGATAAATCTTAACTTAGTCTAACTAAAATAAAGGACACAAATTATTACTATAAGAACTAAAAGAGGGAACATCATTCCAATCCTATATACTAAAAGTATAATAACTCTATGCCTACACACAACCTAGAAGAAAGAGATAAATTCCTTGAAAGATAATGTGCCTAAACTCATACAAGAAAAAATAGAAAATCTGAAACAAACAACTCAATTTAAAAATGTGTTTTTATCTATTAAAAAAATTGAGGCTGGGCGCGGTGGCTCACGCTGTAATCCCAGCACTTCAGGAGGCCAATGCGAGCGGATCACCTGAGGTCGGGAGTTTGAGACCAGCCTGACCAACATGGTGAAACCTCGTCTCTACTAAAATACAAAAAATTAGCCAGGCATGGTGGCGTGTGCCTGTAGTCCCAGCTACTTGTGAGGCTGAGGCAGGAGAATCACTTGAACCTGGGAGGCGGAGGCTGCAGTGAGCCAATATCTCACCACTGTACTCCAGCCTGGTGACAGAGCAAGATGCCGTCTCAAAAAAAAAAAAAAAAAAGAAAAAAAAAGAAAAAGAAAAAAAAAAGTTGAATCAATAATTACTGACTTACCAAAACAGAAAGCAGCAGGCCAGATGAATTCACTGTTGAATTTTACCGAACATCTAAGGAAGAAATTGTAACAATTCTCTAGAGTTGATTTCAGAAAAAGGAAGAGAGTTAATACCTCCTAACTGAGTCTATCAGGTCAGCGTTGTCTGACAAAGACCGGACTAAGAGATAACATGAAACAAAAACTGCAGACCAGTATCTTTTACAAATCAAACCCAACAATGTATATAAAGAATTATATGACATAAAAAAGTATGATTTATCCCAGGTATGCAAAGTTGGTTCAACATTTTAAAATCAATTAATAAAATACTTTACATCCACAAGATAATTTTTAAGGTAAAAAATATTTAAAATTGCTTAAAAATTTACATGAATATAACTATAGATGCAGAAAAAAATATTTGACAAAACTGTAAAGACTACTTTTGCTTCATAAATGCTGAAAGCTCTCAGTGAAGAAAGAATAGTCGGGAACTTCCCACAATCCTTTAAAGAATATATACAAAAATATCTCTATAGCTAGCATTATACTTAATGATGAGAAACTCAAAACTTTTTCAGTAAGATCAGAAACAAGGAAAGGATGTCCTCTCTCACTACTCCTTTTCAGCATTACATTGGAAGTATTAGTGAATGTAGTAAGACAAGAATATAAAATAAAATATTTATAAATTTAGAAGGAAGTCCTTGTTCCCAGATTACATGAACATCTATGTAGAAAACCTGAAAAGTTTAACAAAAAATAAACAATTATAGTAAACAATATAACTAATAAACAACTATAGTAATGTTCCAAGATGTAAGGTTAATATACAAAAGTCAATCACTTTTGTATTTACCATTAATGAACAAATAGAATTTACAATGAAACACACAGTGCCATTGACATTAGTATACAAAAAAACTAAAATATTTAGGTAGAAATCTAATAAAATATAGATAAAATTTATATGATGAAAACTATAAAACTCTTTTGAATGGAATTAAAGAAGAGCTAAGTAAATAGAGAGGTAGTCTGTGATATGGTTCGGCTCTGTATCCCCACATAAATCTCAACTAAAATTGTAATCTCCAGGCATCAAGGGAGGGACCTGGTGGCAGGTGATTTGATCATAAGGGTGGTTTTCACCATGCTGTTCTTATGATAGTGGGTAAGTTCTCATGAAATCTGATGGCTTTATGTGTTTGATAGTTTCTCCTACATACAAACACACACACACACACACACACACTCTCTCTCTCTCTCTCTCACCTGCCACCTTGTAAGATGTGACTGCTTCCTTTTCTACCATGATTGTAAATTTCCTGAGGCCTCCCAAGCTATGCAGAACTATGAGTAAATTAAACCTCCTTTCTTTCTAAATTACCCAGTATTGGCTAGTTCTTTAGAGCAGTGTGAGAATGAACAAATACTGTCTGAGATCATGGATAGAAAGACTCAATATTGTCAACATGTCAGTTCTTCTCAATTTTATCTAGAAATTAAATGCAATACCAATAAAAATCTCAGCAGCTGTTTTTGTGAATATTAACAAAATGTTTGCAAAGTTCATATGAAGAGGCAAAAGATCTAGAATAGCCAACACAATATTGAAGAAAAATAATAAAGTTGGAGGACTGACACTACCTGACTTAAAGATATACTATACAGCTACCATAAAAAAGGAAGTATGGTATTGACAAAATAATAGACAAAAAGATTTACAGAAAAGAATAGAAAGCCCAGAAGTATATCTACATAATATTTAGTCAACCCATCTTTGGCAAAGTGGCCAAGACAATACAACAGGGCAAAAATAGTCTTTTCAATAAATAAGTAATGCTGAATTACCTGGACATTGGACATTCTTATGCAAAAGAAAAATATATAATCTAGACATTGACCTGACACCTTTAAAAAATTACATTAAAATGGATTACAGACCTAAATATAAAATGCAAAACTATTAGAATTTTAGAAGATAACATGGGAGAAAACTTACTTGACCTTGGGTATGCTGATAGCTTATTACATACAACACAAGAGGCATGATTGAGGAAATAAATAATTAAAGGGAAGATTTTTTTCAAATCAAAAAACTCCTTTGCAAAAGACAATGTTAAGAAAATGAGAAAACAAGCCTCAGACAGAGAAAAATATTTGCAAAAGACACATCTGATAAAGAAACGTTATCTAATGTATACAAACAACCCTTGAAATTCAACAATAAGAAAACAACCCAATTAAAAAGTAAGACAAAGATCTGAACACATACCACAACAAAGAAAATATACAGATGGTCAATAATCGTATGAAAGATGCTCTACTATGTCATAAATGAAGTACAAATTAAAACAATGAAATAACACCACATATACATTAGAATGGCCATTATTTGGAACACTAACACCACCAAATGCTGGTAAGAATGTAGAGCAACAGGAACTCTTATTGCTGATGGAAATGTAAAATGACATATAGTCACTTTGCGGAAGAGTTTTCTCTTTTGTTTTTTGTTATTTTGTTTTACAAAACTAAATACACTCTTACTATATAATCCAGCAATTGGGATCCTTGTTGTTTACCCAAAGGAGTTAAAATCTCATGTTCACACAATAACATGCACACAGATGTTTAGAGCAGCTTTATTTATAATTTCCAAAATTTGGAAACAATGAAGGCATCACTCAGTAGGTAAATTAATAGATAAACTTTGGTATATCCAGATAAGAAAACATTACTAAACACTCAAAAAAAAAAAAAAAACTCAAGCTGTAAAAAACATGAAGGCATCATCATTGTATATTAGAAAGTACAAAAGCCAATCTGAAAAGGCTTCATACTGTAAGATTCTGACTATGATATTCTAGAAAAGCTATGGAGACAGTAAAAATATTAGTGGTTTACAGTAATTTAGGGGACGGAGAAATCAATAGGTAAACCACCAAGGAGTTTTAGAGCAGTGAACATATTCTATGTGATACTATAATCATGAATACATTAATTTAAAAACATTATACATTCTTAAATCTATAAAAGATATACCAAATGTGAGCCCTACTGTAAACTATTGACTTGGGGTGACTATAATGTGCCAATGGAGGTTCATCAATTATAGCAAATGTATCAGTTTATTGAGGAATGTTGGTAACCACAGAGGCTATACATGCCTAGGGGTAGATAAAAACTTTGTATCTTTCAGTTTTGGTGTGAAACTAAAACTGCAATTTCAAAAAAACATAAATTAAAAAAGGTCTTTAAAAATAGAACTACCTCCAGAAAATTTTACTTCTGTTTGATGAAATATAAGAAGCAGAAATAAAGCAACTGGAACTAACAACAACAGCAGAACTACAACCAAGAACCCTCACAGAGTCCACTTTACTTGCCTGCTACCTCCACTGGAACAGGTAGTGGTATCCGTGGCTGAGAGATCTGAAGATGGATCATATCCCAGGGCTCTTTGCAGGCTTTCAGAGAGCCCCATCTCTAGGGGAAGGAGGAGAGCACCTCACTGAGGGAACATCTCATGGGACAAAAGAATCTGAACAACAGCCCTTGAGCCACAGATCTTCCCTTTGGCATAGTCTATCCAAATGAGAAGAAACCAGAAAATCAGATTTGGTAATATGACAAAACAAGGTTGCTTACCATCCCCAAAAGATAACACTAGCTCATGAGCAATGAATGCAAACCAAAATAAATAAATAAATAAATAAAGAATCTCTGAATTGCCAGAAAAAAAACATAGAAGGTCAATTATTAAGCTACTCAAGGAGGCACCAGAGAAAGGTGAATACCAACCTGAATAAATCAGAGAAAACCACAGGATATGGACAGAAAAATATCCAGAAAACTAGATAAGATAAATAAAAAACAATCACAACTTCTGGAAATGAGGAAAACACATACAGAAATGCAAAATACAGAAAGTCTCAGCAATCGAATCAAACAAGTAGAAGAAATAACTTCAAAGCTCAAACAAAAGGCTTTTGAAATAACTCAACCCAACAAAGACAAATAAAAATAATATAAAAAAATAAGCAGAGACTCCAAGAATATTCGGATTATATTAAATGACAAAACCTAAGAATGATTACTATTCCTGAGGAAGAAGAGAAATCTAAAAGTTTGGAAAATATATTAGGGTAATGGCAAAAACTGGAATTACTTTTGCACCAAACTTTATATTTGAAGAAATAATCAAGGAAAACTTTTCTGGCCTTGCTAGCGGCTTAGACAGCCAAAAACAAAATGATCAAAAAACATCTAGAAAATTCATTGCAAAAAGAACATCACCTAGGGACATAGGCTTCAGGTTATCTAAAGTTAAAATAAAGAAAGGAATCTTAAGAGTTTTGAGGCAAAACTGTCAGGTAACCTATAAAGGAAAACCTTTATAAGATTAACAACAGATTTTTTTAGTAGAAACCCTACAAGCTATAAGGGACAGGATCCTATCTTTAGCCTCCTTAAATAAAAACAATTATCAGCCAAGAATTTTGTGTGCAGCAAAACTAAGCTTCATAAATGAAAAAATATAGACAGCCTTTTTCAGACAAATACTGAGATAATTCACCATGACCAAGCCAGCACTACAAGAACTAATAAAATCAGCTCTAAGTCATAAAACAAATCCACGAAATACACTGAAATAGAACCTTAAAGCACAAATCTCATCGGACCTATAAAACAATAACACAAAGAAGAAAATCATTTATGCGACAACAAGCATGATGAATAGAATAGTGCCTCACATCTAAATACTAATGTTGAATATAAATGGTCTAAATGCTCCACTTAAAAGATACAGAATGGCAGAATGGATAAAAATTCACCAAACAAGTATCTTCTGTCTTCAACAGAAACACCTAAAACATGAGGACCCACATTAACTTAAGGTAAAGGGGTGGAAAAAGATATTCCATGCAAATTGACACCAAAAGTGAGCATGAGTAGCTATTTTTATGTCAGAAAAAACAGACTTTAAAGCAACAGCTAAAAAAGACAAAGAGGGACACTACATAATGATTAAAAATAACCAGTCCAACAGGAAAACATCACAATTTTAAATATATATGAACCTGACAATGGAGCTCCCAAATTTATAAAGCAATTATGACTAGACTTAAGAAATGAGGTAGACAGTAACACAATAATAGTGGGGGACTTCAATACTCCACTGACAGCACTAGGCAGGTCATCAAGTCAGAAAGTCAACAAAGATACAATGGACTCAAACTATACCCTAGAACAAATGGACTTAATAGATATTTACAGAACATTCTACCCAACAACTGCAGAATATATATTCTATTAATCAGCACATGGAACATTCTCCAAGATAGAGCATATGATAGACCACAAAATAAGTCTCAATAAATTAAAGAAAATAGAAATTATATCAAGCACTCTCTCAGCCCACAGTGGGATAACATTGGAAATCAACACCTAAAGGAAACCTTGAAATCTTGCAAATACATAGAAATTAAATAACCTTCCCATGAATGATTATTGAGTCAGCAATAAAATTAAGATGACAATTAAAAATTTATTTAAACTGAATGGTAATAGTAACACAACCTATCAAAACCTCTGGTATACAGCAAAAGTGGTGCTAAGAGGAAAGTTCATAACATTGAATGCCTATGTCAAAAAGTCTGAAAATGCACAATAGAGATTCTAAGGTTACACATCAAGGAACTAGAGAAACAAGAAAAAACCAAACCCAACAGAAGAAAAAAAAAACAACAAAGATAAGAGAAGAACTAAATGAAATTGAAACAACACCAAAAAACACAATACAAAGGAAAAATAAAATGAAAAGCTGGTTCATTGAAAAGGTAAAATTGACAGATCATTAACAAGATTAAGAAGAAAGAAAATCCAAATAAGCTCAATTAGAAATGAAATGGGAGATATTACAACCAATACCGTGGAAATACAAAAGATCATTCAAGGTTACCCTGAACACCTTTACATGCACAAACTAGAAAACCTAGAGAAGACTGAAAAATTCCTAAAAATATACAACTCTCCTAGATTAAACCAGGAAGACATGGAAACTCTAAACAGACCAGTAAAAAGCAGTGGGATTGAAATGGCAATTTAAAAAAATTGCCAACAACAACAACAAAAAGCCCAGGACCAGAAAAATTCACAGCAGAATTCTATCAGGCATTCAAACAAGAATTGGTGCCAATCCTTTTGAGATTATTTCAAAAAAATAGAGAAAGAGGGAATCCTCCCTCAATCATTCTATGAAGCCAGTATTACCCCAATACTAATCAGGAAAGGATATAACAACAACAACAACAACAACAACAACAAAAACTACAGATCAATATCTGTGATGAAGCTACAAGCAAAAACTCTCAACAAAATACCAGTTAACCAAATCCAACAGCATATCACAAAGACAATACACCATGATCAAGTGGGTTTTCTTTGAGGGATGCAGGGATGGTTTAACATATGTAAATTAATTAATGTGATACACCAAATTAACAGAATTAAAAACAAAAATTACATGATCATCTTAATAGATGAAGAAAAAGCATTTGACAAAATCCAGCATCCCTGTATGATAAAACCCTCAGCAAAATTGGGATACAAGGGACATACTATAAGGTAATAAAAGCCGTCTATGACAAATCCACAGCCAACGCTATACTGAACAGGGAAAAGTTGAAGGCATTCCCCCTGAGAACTGGAACAAGACAGGGATGCCCACTTTCACCACATTTATTCGACATAGTACTGAAAGTCCTAACTAGAGCAATCAGACAAGAGAAAAAAAATAAAGGGCATCCAAATTGGTGAAGAGGAAGTCAAACTGTTGCTATTTGCCAATGATATGATTCTATATCTATAAAACCCTAAAGACAAATCCAAAAAGATCCTAGAACTAATAAATTAATTCAGTAAAGTTTCAGCATACAAAATCAATGTACGAGAATAAGTAGCACTGCTGCACATTAACAGTGACCAAGAAGATAATCAAACCAAGAATTCAACCTCTTTTACAATAGCTGCAAAAAATAAAAATAAAATACTGAGGAAAGTACCTAACCAAGGAGGTGAAAGACCTCTACAAGGAAAATGACAAAACCCTGCTGAAAGAAATCATAGACATACAAAAACAAATGAAAACACATTTCATGTTCATGGATGGGTAAAATCAACATTGTGAAAATGACCATACTGCCAAAAGCAATCTACAAATTCAGTGCAATTCCCATCAAAATACCACCATTGTTCTGCACAGAACTAGAGAAAACAATCCTAAAATTCATATTGATCCACAAAAGAGCCCACGTAGTCAAAGCAAGACTAAGCAAAGAGAACAAATCTGGAGGCATCACATTACCTGACTTCAAATTATACTGTAAGGATATAGTCACCAAAACAGCACAGTACTGGTATAAAAACAGGATAGAGAACCCAGAAATAAAGCCAAATACTTACAGTTAACTAATCTTCAACAAAGCAAATACAAACATGAATTGGGGAAAGGACATCCTATTCAACAATATACTGTGACAATTGGCAAGCCAAAAGTAGAAGAATGAAACTGGATCCTCATCTCTCACCTTATACAAAAATCAACCCAAGATGAATCAAGGACTTAAATCTAAGACCTGAACCTGTAGAAATTCTCAAAGATAACTATGGAAAAATTCATCTAGACATTGGTTTAGGCAAAGATTTCATGACCAAGAACCCAAAAGCAAGTGCAACAAAAACAAGATAAATAGATATTACTTAATTAAACTAAAAAGCTTCTGCACAGCAAAAGAAATAATCAGCAGTGTAAACAGACAACTTACAGATTGGGAGAAAATCTTCACAAACCATGCATTTGACAAAGGACTAATATCCAGAATCTAAAAGGAACTCAATCAAATCAGCAAAATAAACAAACAATCCTATCAAAAAGTGGGATAGGGATATGATCAGACAATTCTCAAGAGAAGATACGCAAATTCCCAACAAACATATAAAAATACTCAGCATCATTAATTATCAGGGAAATGCTAATGAAAACCACGATGCAATACAACCTTACTTCTGCAAGAATGGACATAATAAAAAAAAATAGACTTTGGTGTGGATACGGTGAAAAAAGAACACTTTTACACTGTTGGTAGGAATGAAAACTAGTAAAATTGTGTCCAGAATTTATTCCTTCTGGTGGGTTCTTGGTCTTGTTGACTTCAGGAATGAAGCTGCAGACCTTTGCGGTGAGTGTCAGAGTTCTTAAAGATGGTGTGTCCAGAGTTTGTTCCTTCAGATATTCAGATGTGTCTGGAGTTTCTTCCTTCTGGTAGTTTCGTGGTCTCCCGGACTTCAGTAATGAAGCTTCAGACCTTTGTGGTGAGTGTTACAGCTCTTAAAGGTGGTGTGGACCCAAACAATGAGCAGCAGTAAGATTTATTGTGAAGAGCAAAAGAACAAAGCTTCCACAGTGTGGAGGGGGACCCAAGCAGGTTGCCGCTGCTGGCTTGGGTGGCCAGCTTTTATTCCCTTATTTGGACCTGCCCATGTCCTACTGATTGGTCCATTTTAGAGACTGCTGACTGGCACATTTTACAGAGTGCTGATTGGTCCATTTTACAGAGTGCTGATTGGTCTATTTTACAGAGGGCTGATTGGTGCATTTACAATCCTTTAGCTAGGCACAGAGTGCCGATTGGTGTGTGTTTACAGAGTGCTGATTGGTGCATTTACAATCCTTTAGCTAGACACAGAGTGCTGATTGGTGTATTTTTACAGATTGCTGATTGGTGCATTTACAATCCTTTAGCTAGACACAGAGCACTGATTGGTGTGTTTACAATCTTTTAGCTTGATGGAAAAGTTCTCTAAGTCCCCACTCCACCCAGGAATTCCAGTTGGCTTCACCTCTCACAATCACTATGGAAAACAGTGTGGAGATTTCTTAAAGAAAAAAAGTAGATCGATTGTTTGATCCAGCAATCCCACTACTGGGTATCTACCCAGAGGTAAACAAGTTATTATAAAAAAAAGATACTTGCACACACATGTTTACAGCAACAATTCTAAAAATATGGAACCAGCCCTAATATGCATATATGTGTGTGTATATATATATATATATATATATATATATATATATTACATACAATGAAATATTACTCATGAAAAGGAAAAAAATAGTGGCATTCACAGCAACCTAAGTGGAACTGGAGACCATTATTCTAAATAAAGTAACTCAAGAATGGAAAACCAAACATTGTCTGTTCCCACTCATAAGAGGGAACTTTCTATGAAGATGCAAAGGCATAAGAATGACACAGTTGACTTTGGGGACTCAAGGCAGAGGGTGGGATGTGGGTGAGGAATAAAAGACTACACATTGGGTACAGTGTACACTGCTGGGGTGATGTATGCAATAAAATTTCAGAAATCACCTCTAAAGAACTTATCCGTGTAACTAAATTCCATCTTTTTCCTCAAAACCTATTGAAATTAAAAATTAAAATTAAAACAAAAGAAAGCAATTTCTGCAGTTTTACAAAATTAAAACTAATTCTTTCTCTGTTGGACTTTGGTGCTCCATAAAATGTTTTCAGGGAATCATAGAAATTGACATCTATTTAGAACACCTACCTAATCCATTTTCTACTTTTTGGCAGTAGTATACCAGTTTAAAGAAATAATAATTTTTTTTTTTTTTGAGACAGAGTCTTGCTCTGTTGCCCAGGTTGGAGTGGAGTGGTGCAATCTTGGCTCACTGCAAGCTCTGCCTCCCGGGTTCACGCCATTCTCCTGACTCAGCCTCCTGAGTAGCTGGGACTACAGGTGCCCACCACCACGCCCAGCTAATTTTTTTGTATTTTTAGTAGAGATGGGGTTTCACTGTGTTAGCCAGGAAGGTCTCAATCTTCTGACCTCGTGATCCACCCAGCTTGGTCTTTCTATTTAGGGACAGATAATCACCCTATATTAATTATTGAAAAACAAATATTAAAATATGGCAGATCTTGTGTCATTACATCTTCAAATTTCTCTTGCATTCTCTGACAAAAATTTCATTTTTACAAAATAAATTATTGTGCATACTGATTTTTTTCCCACTAAACCACATATTTAAAATATTTAAATTAAAAGTAATTATGGAGAAATTTTCTTCAGAGTTTACAGTGAAAAAATACCTTATTTCCTATATTATAAATCTAAAATTGTATGGATCACCTTAAGCCCCTAAATAAAGATAAACTTCTCAACTTCATAAAAATCTATTTCTAACCACTAACTGGGCACACAATATTGTTTGCCTTTGTTTTAATTTATTTTAATTTTAATTTCAGATTCAGAGAGTACATGGGCGAATTTGTTAACAAGATGTACAAGATTTGTTCCATGATGCTAAAGTAAGGGCTTCTATTGATTCAGTCATCCAAAGACATAGCATAGTACATAATAGGAAGTTCTTCAGCCCATGGCCCCCTTCCTTCCTACCTCCCTTTGAAGCCCTCAGTGTCTATTGTTCCCATCTTTTTTTTCTTTTCCATTTTTATTTTAGGTTCAAGAGGTATATGTGCAGATTTCTTTCACAGGTAAATTGAATGTCACGGGGATTTGGTGTACCGATAATGTCATCATTCAGGTAATACACATAGTATCTGATAGGTTTTTGATTATCGCTTTCTTCCTAACCTCGAGCGTCAAGTAGGACCTTGCATCCAGTGTTCCCTTTTTTCGTGTCCATGTGTACTCAATGATTAAATCCCACTTATAAGTAAAAACATATGGTATTTGGTTTTCTGTTCCTGTATTAGTTTGCTTAGGATAATGGCCTACAATTTTATTGAACTTTCACATTCCTCATTAGCTGTTGACAATGTTGGGTAATATGATTCATCCAGCTTTGTTCATTTGGCTTTTTAGGATCTTTTTTGATTCCATATGATTTTTTGAATAGCTTTTTTTTATTCTGTGAAAAATTTTATTGGTAGTTTGATAGGTATAGCGTTGAATCTCTAAATTCTTTGGGAAGTATGGTTATTTAACAATATTAATTATTCCTATCCATGAGCATGAAATTGTGTCATCTCTGAATTCTTTCAGCAGTGTTTTCTGATTCTGATTGAAGAGAACTTTCACATTCCTCATTAGCTGTTGACAGTGTTGAATATTTGTCCCCATCCTAATCGCATGTTGAATTTTAATCGCCAGCGTTGGAGGTGGGGACTGGTGGAAGATGATTAGATAAGGGCAATGAAATCTCATGCGTTGGTGTTTTTCTCACAATATTGAGTGAGT
The DNA here is from genome assembly GCF_000001405.40 of Homo sapiens. Taxonomy (NCBI): domain Eukaryota; kingdom Metazoa; phylum Chordata; class Mammalia; order Primates; family Hominidae; genus Homo; species Homo sapiens. Next base: position 4,133,966 of record NC_000024.10, read on the forward strand.
TCTCATGAGATGTGGTTATTTAAAAGTATGTCAGTACTCCCCCCACCACTCCTGCTTTTGCCATGTGATATGCCTGGTCATGCTTCATCTTCTGGAATGAGTAAAATTTCCTGAGGGCTCCCCAGAAGCTGTGCAGATGTTGTCACCATGCTTCCTGTACAACCTTCAGAATCATAAGCTAATTAAACTTCTTCTCTTTGTAAATTACCCAGCCTCAGGTATTTCTTTATAGCAATAAAGAACAGCCTAATACAGAAAATTGGTACCAAGGGATGAGACGTTGTTACACATAAACCTTAAAAGGTGGAAGCAGCTTTGGAACTGGGCAATAGGTAGAGGTTGAGAGAGTTGGGTGGGCTCAGAAGAAGATAGGAATATTAAGGACAGTTTGGAACTCCTTAGAGACTGGTTAAATGATTGTATCCAAAATGCTTATAGTGAAATGAACAGTGAAGTCTAGATTGCTAAGGTCTCAGATAAAAAATGAGATACTTATGAGAAATTGAGGCAAAGGTTGTATGTTATGCCTTAGAAAACAACTTGGCTGCATTGTGTTTATACCCTGGGAATCTGTGAAAGTTTGAATTTGAGAGTGATGATTTAGGGTATCTGGTAGAAGACATTTCTAAGCAGCAAAACATTCAAGATATGGCCTGGCTACTGCTAACAGCTCATGCTGAGATGTAGGACCAAAAAAAAATGTTTTAAAGTCAGAACTTATATTGAAAAGGAAAGTAGAACATGAAAGTTTAGGAAATTTGTAGGTTTGTCTTGTGGAAGAGAAATAAAAAGCATTTTCAGGGGAATAATTCAAGCTGGCCGTGGAGCAACAACTTACTAGAGAGACTGGCATAAATAAAAAAGAATCAGGGGAAAGACAATGGGAAAAAGATCTTGAAAGTGTTTCAGAGATCTAGGAAGTAGCCCTTCCAAACACAGGCTCTGAGGCCTATGAGGACTGAGTTGTTTTGTGGGGCAAGCCCAGCTCTTCACTGCCCTCCACAGCCTCGGAACATTGCTCCTTGTATTGTGGTAACTTTGTCTCCAAACTCACCTCAAAGGGCTCCAGATAGAGCTTGGGCTACTGCTTCAGATGGCAAAAGCCATAATCCATAACAGCTTCCATGTAGTTAAGCCTGCAAGTATGCAGAGTGCAAGAGTAAAGGAGGCTTGGTACCCACTGCCTAGATTTCAGGGGATGTATGAGAAAAGCTGAGTGCCCTGGCAGAAGCTTGCTACAGGGACAGAGCCCTCACAGAGAAGCTCTACTAGGGTAGTTCCAAGGAGAAATGTGGGTTTGGAGCCCCACACAGAGCCCCCAGCAGGGCACACCCTAGTGGAGCTGTGAGAAGGAAGCCAGTGTCTTTCAGCTTCCATAATGGTGAATCTACTGGCAGTTTTCTCCCTGCATCTGGAAAATCTGCTTGTACTCAACAACCCGTGAGCCTCCATGGAGCTGAACCCTGCAAAGCCAGAGCTGCACAGCTGTCCAAGCCTTTGGGAGCCCACTTTTTGCACCATTGTGCTCTAGATATGTGTCATGTAGTAAAATGAGATTTTTTGGAGCTTTAAGATTTAAGGACTGCCCTGCTGGGTTTTGAACTGGCATGAGTCCTGTAATCCCCTTCTTTTGGATGTTTTCTCTATTTTGGAACAATATTGTTTACCCAATGACTATACTTCCATTGTAATTTGGAACTAAACCACTTGTTTGTGATTTTACAGGCTTATAGGTGGAAGAAACTTGCCTAATCTCCATTAAGTTTTTAGACTTGGGCTTGAGACTTTTAAGATAATGCTGCAATGAGTTAAGACTTTGGGGGAATATTGAGGAGGTGTATTTATATTTTTCAACGTGAGAAGGACATGAACTTCGAAAGGAGCAGGTGCATATTAATATAGTTTGAATATTCATCTCCACATAAATCTCATGTTGAATTGTAATTCCCAGTGTTGGAGCTATCAATGAGCCTAGTTGGAGGCTATTGGATCATGAGAGTGAATCACTCTTGGCTTGGTGCTTTCCTCACTATAATGAATGAGTTCTCATAAAATCTGGCTGTTTGAAATTATGTGTCACCTCCCCACTCCTTTTGCTCCTGATTTTTTCATGCAACATGCCTGCTCCTGCTTTACCTTCTGCCATTAGTAAAAGCTCTCTGAGGCATTCTCAGAATATGAGCACATGCCAGCATCATGATTCCTGTATACCCTGCAGAACTGAGAGCCTATTAAACTTATTTTCTTTATAAATTACCCAGCCTCAGGTATTTCTTTATAGCAATGCATGAACAGCCCAATACAGTTGTATTCTTGATATTTTATTTTTCTGATCATTGTGAATGTGATTGCATTCTTGATTTGGCACTTAGCTTGGATGTTATTGATGTATAGAAATACTACTGATTTTTATACATTAATTTTGTATCCTGGAACTTGCTGAAGTACTTTATCAGATCTATCAGCTTTTGGGCAAAGTTTATGGGGTTTTCTAGGCATTAAATCATATCATCTGAAAACAGAGATAGATTGATTTTCTTTCTTCCTATTTGGATGCCTTTTATTTCTTTCTCCTCTTGCCTGACTGTTCTGGCTAGGACTTCCAATACTATATTGAATAGGAGTGGCAAGAGTCAGCATCTTTGTCTCATTTCAGTTCTCAAGGGGAATGCTTCCAGATTTTGCCCATTCAGTATGATGTTACCTGTGGGTTTGTCACAGGTGGCTCTTGGTATTTTGAAGTATATTCCTTTGATGCCTAGTTTATTAAGCGTTTTTAACATATAAGAATGCTTCATCTCAATACATGCAAAAGCCTTTTTTGCATGTATTGAGATAATCATATAGTTTTGGTTTTTAATATTTTTTATGCAATAAATCACATTTATTGATTTGGGTATTTTGAACAAATCTTGCATCCCAGGGATAAAGCCTACTTGATCGTGGTGGATTCGCCTTTTCATGTGCTGCTGCATTCAGTTTGCTAGTATTTTGGTGAAGATGTTTGCATCTATGTTCATCAAGGATATGGACCTTAAGTTCTTTTTGTTGTTTTTTTTTTTTTGTCTCTGCCAAGTTTTGGTTCTGAGTGATGATGGCCTCATAGAAGGAGTTAGGGAGGCATTCCTCTAACACACTTTTTAGAAGTGTTTCAGTAGGAATGGTACCAGCTTTTCTTTGTACGTCTTGTGTAATTTGTCTGTGAATCCTTCTTGTGCAGGCTTTTTCTGATTGGTAGGGTTCTTATTACTGATTCTATTTTGGAACACATTGTTAGTTTTGTTCAGGTGTCAATTTCTTACTGGATCAATCTTGTGAGATTGTGTATTTCTAAGGATTTATTTACTCCTTGTAGGTTTTCTAATTTGTGGGCAGAGATGTGTTCATAATAATCTCTGAGAGTGTTTCTGTATTTCTGTGAGGTCAGTGGTTATGTCTCCTTTGTCATTCCCGATTGTGTTTAATTATATCTTCTTTGTCTTTTTATTAGTCTAGCTAGTGGTCTATCAATCTTATTTGAAAAAAAACAAACCTCTGGTTTCATTGATCTTTTGCATGGTTTTTCTCCTCTCAATTTCCTTCATTTCAACTGTGATTTTGGTTATTTCTTGTCTTCTACCTTTAAGGTTGGTTTGGTCTTACTTCTCTAGTTCTCTAGGTGTAATATTAGGTTGTTGATTTGAGATCTTTCTGACTTTTTGATGTGGTTATTTAGGTCTATAAGCTCTCCTCTTTAAACAGCTTTAGCTGTGTCCCAGATATTTTGATATGTTGCATCTTTGTTTTCATTAGTTTCAAAAAATTTCTTGATTTCTGCCTTAATTTCATTATTTACCCAGACGTCATGCAGGAGCAGATTGTTTAATTTCTATGTAATTGTATGGTTTGGAATGATCTCAGTATTGATTTCTATTTTTATTGTGTCGTGGTTTAAGAGTGTGATTGTTATAATTTTTTTTTTTTAATTGGCTGAGAATTGTTTTAGGGCAGACTTCATGGTCAATTTCAGAGTATGGGCTATGAGCAAATGAAAAGAATGTATACTCTGTTGGTTTCATGTGGAGAGATTTGTAGATATCTGTTAGGTTGTTTTGGCCAAGTGTCGAGTTCAGCTCCCAAATGTCTTTGTGGGATTAGAATTCTTTAGGTATCTCTTAGCTTCTTTTGGTCAAGTGTTAAGTACAGCTCCCAAATTTTTTTTGTTAGTTTTCTCCCTCAATTATCTGTCTAATACTGCCAGTACAGTGTTGAAGTTTTTCATTATTATTATGTGGTTATCCAAGTCTCTTTGTAGGCCTCTAAGAACTTGTTTTATGAATCTGGGTGCTCCTGTGTTGGGTGCAAATATATATTTGGGGATAGGTGAGTCTTGCTGAATTGAAAACTTTACCATTATGTAACGCCCTTCTGTGCCTTTTCTGATCATTGTTAAAGTCTATTTTGTCTGAAATTAGATTACCAACCTCTGCTTTTTTTGTTGTTTTCCATTTGCTTGGTAGATTTTTCTCCATCCCTTTAATTTGAGCTCATGGGTGTCTTTGCATGTGAGACGGATCTCTTGAAGATACCATACAATTGGGTCTTGCTTCTTTTTCAAACTTTCCCCTCTGTGTTTTCAATTGGGGGATTTAGCCAGTTTATATTTAAGGTTAACATTGATATGTGAGGATTTGTTCCTATCATCGTGCTGTTAGCTGATTATTATGCAGACTTGATTGTGTAGTTGCCTTATAGTGTCGATGGTCTGTGTACTTAAGTGTATTTTTGTGGTGGCTAATAATGGTCTCTCATTTCCATATTTAGCACTCCCATAGTGACTTCCTGTAAGGAGGTCTGATGGTAACACATTTCCTTAGCATTTGCTTGTCTGAAAAGGATCTTTTTTCTCCTTTGCATACGAAGCTTAGTTTGGCTGCATATAAAATTCTTGGTTGGAACTTATTTTCTTAAGAATGCTGAATATAGGTCCTCAATCTCTACTGGCTTGTAGGGTTTCTGCTGAGAGATTCACTGTTAGCCTGATGGGGCACCCTTTGTTGATGATCTGCCTCTTCTCTCTAGCTGCCTTCAATATATTTTCTTTCATGTCGACCTTGGAGAATCTGATGTCTATATGTCTTGAGTATGGTCAGCTTGTACAGTATCCTGTATGGGTTCTCTGCATTTTTAAAATTTGAATGTTGGCTTCTCTAATGAGGATGGAAAAATTTTGGTGGATGATATCATGAAACATGTTTTTTTGTTGTTGCTCACTTTTTCTCTCTTTTAGGTATACCAATGAGTTATATATTTGGTCTCTTTATGTAATCCTATGCTTTTGGCTTTTTGAAGGTTTTGTTCATTTTTTTACATTATTTTTTTCTTTACTTTTGTCTGGGTAAATTCAGAGAACTAGTCTTCAAGCTCTGAGATTATATCCACAGCTTGGTCTATTCTGCTATCAATATTTGTGATTGTATTATGAAATGTTTGTGGTGAGTTTTTCAGCCTTATCAGATCATTTTGGTTCTTTCTCTTTCAGCTCCTGTACTGTTTTGTTGTATTCCTTAGATTCCTTGAATTGGGTTTCAACTTTCTACTAAATCCCAATGATCTTCATTCTGACCCATATTATGAATTCTATGTTTGTCATTTTAGCCATTTCAGCCTGGTTGAGAACCATTGCTAGGGGAACTACTGCTATCATTTGCAGGTAAATTTAGATTTTTGAGTTGCTGGAGTTCTTGCACTGGTTCTTATGTGTGTGGGTGTATGATCCTTTAATCTTTGAAGTTGCTGGCTTTTGCATGGGGTTTTTTGCTTTTATCTTCTTTGGTGCCCTTGGGGATTTGATTGTGGTATAAAGTATATTCAGTTGACTAGCTTTTATCCTAGAAGATTTTAGGGGTTTAAGTCTCAGCTCAGCACTCCTGGGCTATATGCTCTAACTTTGGTAGGTTGGTACTGGAAAGGTATTTAAAGGTACTGTTGGCATTTTTTACTTGGGAGAATACATATATATTGGTGTCATTCAATGTAATAGGACACATAGAAGAATAAAGTAATATATAATGGGAGGTGACATCTCATTTAAATTTATTGGTGGTGCTTGTAGAATAAATGAGTAAAAACAAATGATGCAAAGAATGCATACAAAATATGTAGGCAATAATGCCTAGAGTTTTTAGCTGCCTAAGAATATTTCATGCCTTCACCTTATATTTATAGGAAAAACAAAAAGCAGATTTTCTTTGTACACCATATTTATAATTTTATCAATATTTCTTGAACTGAATTTCAATGTTGGTTAGAAATTTATGTAAACTATTCTGTATATATCATACAGAGAAAGACTCTTTAGGCTATTGGCTCTTGATATGTTAGTATTATCTTAATTCAAATTTGTTTAAAATTTCTACAATAGGAAATATGAACATTTCAGACAAATACTCAAAGAAAAATATTAGAAATTGGAAGTAAGAAATTTCAGCCTAATGTGCTAATAAATACAGGACTTGGCAGTAGTCGCTCTGTCTGACAAGTAAAATGCTGAAAAAACTAAAAATCAGAGACTCTTCATAGATCCATCAAATAACAGAAGTCAAAAAAAAAACACACACTATTTTTCAAATTGGAAACACATTCTAGTGAATATGATGAATCACAACTTATTCGAATAAAATTAAAAGCAAACACTTCGTGGATATTAGTAATGGGGTAGAAAACCCTACTCCCAAATTATACTGTAATTGACAAATTGATGGAAGCTAAGCGTGGACAAGACTGGGAGCTAAAAGGAAAAACACCTTCAAGGAGGCCTGGTCTTAGGAGGCCCTCAAACTTTTATGCATTTTACCTCTTGGATACATCCCACATTTCCACAGTAAAGATAATGGGTGTACTTCTGGCAGGGTGAGGAAAAAATTAGATATTTTTAAATACACCTAGAGCATTCTCTTCCTTTTAAGAAGGCCTGCTTGGTGGCAATCTCCTCCATGTTTTCTCTCTCTCCTACTGTGATGTAAGACGTGCCTTGCTTTTCCTTTGCCTCCTGCCATGATTGTAAGATTGTTGAGGTCTCTCCAACCATGTGGAACTGTGAATTAATTAAACCTCTTTTGTTTATAAATTACCCAGTCTCAGGTAGTGTCTTTATAGCAGTGTGAGAATGGACTAATATAGAGAATTGGTAGTAGGATTTGGGTACTGTTATAAAGATGACCTGAAAATGTGGAAGTGACTTTAGAACTGGGTAACAGGCAGAGTTTGGAACAGTTTTGAGGGCTCAGAAAAAGACAGAAATACGTGGAAAATTTTGGAACTTCCTAGAGATTTGTTGAATGGTTTTGGCCACAATGCTGATAGTGATATGGACAATAAAGTCCAGGCTGAGGTGGCCTCAGATAGAGATGAGGAATTTGTTGGGAACTGGAGCAAAGGTCACTCTTGCTATGCTATGCTTTAGCAAAGAGATTGGTAGCATTTTGCCCCTTCCCTAGAGATCCATTCAACTTTGAACTTGAGAGAGATAATTTAGGGTATCTGGCAGAAGAAATTTTTAAGCAGTAAAACATTCAAGAGGTTACCTGGCTTATTCTGAAAGCATTCACTTATATGCATTCACAAAGAGATGGTTTGAAATGGGAACTTATGTTTAAAAAGGAAGCAGAGCATAAAGGTTTGGAAAATTTGCAGGCTGACCATGTGGTAGAAAAGAATAACCCATGTTCTTGGGAGGAATACAAGCTGGCTGCAGAAATTTGCATAAGTAGCGAGGAGTCGAATGTTAACCACCAAGACAATGGGGCAAAGGTCTCTAGGGCATTTCGGAGATCTTCATGGCAGCTCTTCCCATCACAGGCCTGGAGGCTGAGGAGGGAAAAATGGTTTTGTGGCCCAGGCATTTGGCCCTGCTACTCTGTGCAGCCCCAGAAGTTGGTGCCCTACATCCAAGCCACTCCAGCTTCACCCATGCATAAAAGGGACAAACATGCAGCCCAGGCCATCACTTCAGAGGGTGAAAGCCCGAAGCCTTGGCAACTTCCACATGGTGTTGGGCCTGTAGGTGCACTGAAGCCAAGAGTTGAGGTTTGGGAACCTCAACCTAGATTTGAGAGGATGTATGGAAAGGCCTGGATGTCCAGACAGAAATCTGCTGCAGGGGCATAACCTTCATGGAGCACCTCTATTATGGCAATGCAGAGGGGAAATGTGGGGTTGGAGCTTCCACACAGAGTCCCCACTGGGGCACCACTTAGTGGAGCTGTGAGAAGACAGCCACCATCCTCTAGATCTCAGGATGGTAGTTCCACTGACAGCTTGCACAATGCACCTGGAAAAGACACAGGCACTCAATGCCAGCCTATGAAAGTAGCTGCAGGGGATGTACCATGCAGAGCCACAAGGGCAGAGCTACCCAAGTCATTGGGAGCCAACCCCTTGCATCAGCATTACCTGGGTATAAGACATGGAGTTAAAATAGATTATTTTGGAGCTTTAAGATTTAATAGCTGCTTGCTGGGTTTCAGACTTGCATGGAGCCTGTGACACCTTTGGTCAATTTGGAAGGGGAATATTTATGCAATTACTGAACCCCCATTGTACCTTGGAAGGAACTAACTCACTTTTTATTTTACAGGCTCATAGGTGAAAGGGACTTGCCTTGTCTTAGATGAAACTTTGGACTTGGACTTTTGAGTTAATGCTGGAATGAGTTAAGACTTTGGGGGACTGTTGAGAAGGCATAATTGGTTTTTCAATGTGAAAAGGACATGAGACTTAGGAGGAGCCAGAGTAGCATAACATGGTTTGGTTCTGTGTCCCCACCCAAATTTCATCTCGAATCCCCACTTGTCCAGGCAGGGACCTGGTTGCAGGTGATTGGATGATGTAGGAGGTTTCTCCCATGCTGTTCTTTTGACAGTGAGAGAGTTCTCAGGAGATCTGATGGTTTAAAAGTAGCAGTGCCTCCTCTGTGTTCTCTCTTTTTTTTCCACCACGTATGATGTGCCTTGCTTCCCCTTTGCCTTTCACAATAATTTTAAGTTTCCTAAGGCCTCCCCAGCCATGCAGAACTGTAAGTAAATTAAACATCTTTTGTTTATAAGTTACCCAGTCTCAGGTAGTAGCTTTATAGCAGTGTGAAAATAGACTGAGACAGTAATTTAAACAACAGCCAAGAAAGCTAGAGTCCAGAGATGTTTAGTTTCCCTATGGAAACTATGGCCCTATGGAAACCCCCCACTGAGGACCCCCACCAAATGGATCCACTGACATGTAATGCTCAGATAGGGGGGCATTGAAGACTGGATTGTGACCACCATTCTCTGTAATATATTCTTTTTTGAGGGGTTTGGAAGAACTCACACTTCTGAGACAGTTAAGATTTTTTTCTGCTGACCACAAATTATTAAACAAAGCTTTGCTTCCTTAACCAATTGCAAATCCAAAAATCATTAAATCTACCTACAACCCGTAAGGTTCTACTTTAAGCTATCTCAACTTTTTAAGGCCAAAAACAATGTGTAACCTCTATCTATTGATTTAGTATTTTGCATGTAGCTTCTGCTTTTGTAAAATTTACCCCTGCCTTTTAAAATCTTGTCCTGCAAGACATCTGAGAGGTCCAGATTGGAGCAATAGCTTCTTGTCCCTCCTTGCTTGAAACCCTGCAAAAAAAATGCCACCTTTTCTATCACAGCAAAAACCTCAATGTGGATATGTGGTTTTACTGCACTGGGAAAATTTGTTAGTGGCAGCGAATCTGTATGATTCTGCAGCAACTTCAATTCTTGCCTCCTCAGAAGAAAAAATTCAAACGAGGGGCATAAGGCAGAAGAAGAGACTGAGGCAAGTTTTAGAGCAGGAGTGAAAATTTGTGAAAATGCTTTAGAGCAGGAATGAAAGGAAGTAATGTACACTTGGAAGAGGGCCAAGTGGGCAACCTGAAAGACAGGTTCATGGTTTGACCTTTTGACTTGGGGTTTTATATACTGGCATACATTCATGGTCTCACATCCTTTCTCCCCTGATTCCTCCCTTGTGGTGGGCTGTTGACAAGCACAGCAGCTTACCGGTACTTGGAATTTGATCATGCAGTGTGTTTACTGAAGTTGTAAGCATGCTCACTTGAGGTGTTCCTCCCTTACCAGACAAATACTCCTAGAAGGTCATTTACCATTTAAACCCTGTCACTTTTCCTCTACATGTACATGGTTGAACTCAGCCATCCAACTCCTGAGATCTTATCAGGAAGCAGATGATCACCAGTTTCAGGTTTTTTTCTATCTCTAGGAAGACTGCCTTTCCCTGGTGCTGGCTGTGGCCAATTATTATTTTAGAGAGAGATAGTTAACAATCACATGACCATCACCTGATGGTCTCCTGATATTCCTGGTCAGATGGAGCCCTCTCCTGCTCTGCTCATGCCTGACCAGCTACCTATTATAGCATTTTCCCACTCATGATCTTAAGACCCCAATTATTTGGAGAAAATGGACAAAGGTCAGTCTTCTATAACTCTTCACTGCTGACAAAGAGGCAGTGGATCGCTCTGTGGGTCTTGGCCTGTTGCTAGCTGTCAGGGCAGGAAGGTGGCTCCATGGGTGTTTGAATGTGGTATCCAGCCAGGGTCTAGGGAGACAGGGGCAGGATTTTGCCTCTGTTATGTCTCACTGACGGGCAGTCCAGGGGTCCCCTGTAGAAGAGTGACTCTGAATATTGAAAAGATGATATCCCTCACTGAGGATTATCTGGAGCTTGATAGCCTATACCTTTTGTTTCTTCTGAGGTACAAACAGTAATCACTAGTTGGCTCACAGGAATAAGCAGAGTTAGTCTAAATTGCAGACAAAAACTCAAAAAGAACTGATGAGACTAGAATCTAATAATAAATGTACCATAGTGCTCGAAACATGATTTTTATCCCTCCAGTTCTCATTTTTATTTTAAAAAAACATTAAAGTAACTATTTGTTTGCAAAATAAAGTTTAGTTTTATGATACTTGGCAAATTATTGGCATAAAGCACAGAAAGTTTATTTTCTATATAGGCTCCTTTTTAAATTGACTTTGATGGATCTTCATTCCATAATGAATCTCATGCAAGAGTTTTCTTAAAGCCTTAAGCCCAGCCATGAATTGGTGCCATCAAATACCTGTATGATTGGGTAAATTCTTCTCCTCTTTAGGTCCTAAGATAACTTGAAGCTCCTGGGCCCATTAGAAAGTGACATTCTTTACTTACCAAAGGTCAGCAACCCTGTACAGGAACTGTGTAGACAAAGTATGAGGACAGTTTACCCAAGGGGTTTTATTGGCTCTATAAGTAAAATTTGATTCCTTAAGGGAAAGCATGCCATTCCAGTCAAAGCCTTGGTAAAATAACCAGATCCTCCAACTGTGTTCTGTTGTAAAAGAAACCAGATTCTTATTGCATTTATGCAAATAACTATATTGCCATTAGCTAAGAATACTCGCAAATAGCTTTCAAATTTTGAATAAATCCAGTAAGGAGAAATATGCTCCAAAGATTATTTATAGGAGTATATTTTACTGAATTGTTAAAAGATGTAAATAACTCAAAAGAAAAGTTTTCCTGGCTTTGAAAAACAAAATACCAGCAACATTTTAAGCAAAAAGTCATGAAATAATTAATTTAGTTTTCTATTAGGTCAGGCCATGTGTACAGTTAACTTTTGTTCTGCTTGATATTCATAAACATTTCAGCTCTCCATGAGAGTCCTAAAAGTCTTTCCCTAATTCTAATGTCACAGTCTCCAAAGTCATCAGAATGCTGCATTCAAGAACACCTCTTAGATTTTTATAGCTGGTTATAAAACCACCTTCTGAAGAGGACCAAAAGAAAACAATAATTTCCTTGGATGACAAGACATCTTAGGGCAGCCTCTATTAAAGCCACAATTGACTAGGAATTTTGGTTACTTCTTTGGCATATTATAACAATTTTACCTAACAATTATAATGATTAATAACATACAGTAATTAATATCAGAATTATAGAACAAATTGGAATAAATGCTCATAACACATTTATACAAATACAGCCCAAAGAAAGCCAAATATTACCTTCGCACTGGTGTACTGTTGATGTCAAACTTAGTTCTTAAAACCTTATAGACAAATCTATTCAATTTTAATCAGTCTGACTCTATGGTAAGATTCTCATAAACCTTTTACAACACTTTACAATTTTATTTGTTAAAGAGCATAACAATGCTCTAAGAAAACCCTGTTGTGGTTTTATTCCAATATTTAATTTACAGAAAAACTGAATAATACTCCTTTATCTTTACCCAATAATTTCACACAAAAAATTTTTTTTTACAAGTTAATTTTTCACAAACCTTCCATGACTTGTTCAAACTTTCAGGTTTTTTCCATCTAATGAAAAACAAAACTTGAATTCTTTAATCTAGGCAAAAATATACACATTACCTTGGCTTGTTATAATCTTTTACAAAAAACACATTTCACTTTCCTTGCACACCTTACATGTAAAACTTTTTCTTTAGTAGTTTTAATTAAATGTTACAATGTTAACTCTTAGCAACTTTTATTTTTGGTGAAAAACCTGGTAAGTAAATGATTTTAATTATGTACTAGGTGTGGAGCCTAGGAAACCAAATGAAAGTGTGAATAAGGTCTGATTCTTTGCAGCATAACCAGGGGAGCATGCCTAACTTCACATGTCCTCAGGCCTTACATAGATTATGATGGCTCCAAAATAGGTAAGTTGGACAATTTTCAAAAGTCAAAGAATAAGTTTATGACCTTACAGCATTTAGCAAACCTAGTATCTGACCTGCATAATTTATACAATATGTCTAAATTTTTGAATATATTTTTATTTTACCATTAATATTTAAACCCGTCTTTAATTCCCAAACATTACGTAAGTCACATGAATGAAAAGGCATTATAGTTTTTATTTTTCTGGCAAAATACTTGATTGAAGCACTTATTATTTTTAAGCCAATTAATCGGAGCTCTTTCATATATAAACATCACACATACAACACATATAAATACACAGAAAGACAGAAAATCCAGTAATGTAAGGTTTTCCATTTGCCAGTTTTTAAGTTTCTTAATTGGATTACTGGCTTCAGGGTGGAGCACCTTGAGATACAATGTCAGGAAAGCATGCAGTTTCTAGGGTCTAATAAGCAGTCATAGCTGGATGCAAAATGGATCCCCAAAAGTTAAGGGTACCATTTTTATACCAGATCCTAGATCCCAAAAAAAGAGAAAAATCGGCCCATTTCCCATGGGATTCTTATCTCTCAGTGAGAGGTGGAATCATTTCCAGACTTTCTAGGTGGCCAAGAGCACGCTTCTCTGATCCAAATGTGTAAAGCACTGAGTATCTCACCGTAACTGCCATTAGCCATCCCTAAAAGTATATTTCTTACCCAGTTATTACACACCAAAACTCTCTCATAATTCAAAGTAATTTCTGATACCCCCAAAAGTTAAAAAAAAAAAATCAGATAACATCATTCAAAGTGGAACAGAGCTTTAGATTTTGAGAGGAATTTTATCTGCTTTTGATTCCTAGAGCTTCATGAGGGAAAAAGGAAGTTTTTCCCAAAATGGGGTCTGTATTGCCTCCTCTCTTTATCCCAAGGAGAAACTGTCTTAGGAATTATCTTAGGTTCTCTTATGTGTGCATTAAGAGTGGCAAGAAGACAAAATGGAGAACAACTATTCAGTCAACTGACAAGAAAGAAAAACCTTTTTTTTTTTTTTCAGGAAAACATGATTCAAGAAGAGAAAAAAATGTAAAGGCCTTTTAAATATATGCATAGCTTGGACTTGGATATCTGCTTTTATTTAAGCTGACTTTTAACCACACTGCTCTTTAAAAAAATCTTTCTAAATCTCTTATCACCCTACTTTAGCTAGGCCAAACAGCGAATATTCCTGGCTTTTAAACTTTACCAAAATAAACCTCATAGGTGAAACCAATAGGCCTTAACTAAAGTTATGACTTAACCATGAGTGTACAAGGTATTTTCAAAGAGGCAGTTAACGGTTTTTATAATACCTAGAATCTCCGAAGTTAGGTCAGAGGAAATACAATTCAAGAAGGGAACTCACAAGTTGTTCCTGGAGGGGCAGAGAATCAACAAATGGCAAATGTCACACAAATGTCAACCAGAAAGTACTCTTTCCTAAGCCAGGAATTGAACCCTGAACTCATGTCACCACTGGGAAAAGACAAAGCCTTAGCTACCATGCTACAGCATTTGGCAGTTTTTATTGCTCTTCCCAGAAGGAGCCTAGAGCAGTCAGTTTGGAGCTTGCGATGGCTTTTGGCTTGCTCAAGATAATTCTTAGAGCTAACTATGGCATGAACTCCAAAATTTCTGCCATTTGGATACTGAAGATGAAGAAAAAGTACTGCCACCTGGTTACAAAATCAAGCTCTCAAGGACGTAAAACAAGACGAGAGAAAATCTTCATCCACTTTTTTATTTTGTTGTTTTCTTTTGGTATCACAGAACTGCAGCAAATTTTGTAACTGACCAGTTTGCCAGGCTGGCTTGAACAGTGGGCTTACAGGCATCCTAGGTTCACATTCTACCCTAAGGTACCCCTCTTTATGAAAGAATGAAACAGAAAGAAAAATTCATAGCAGAAAGCAAACCAGGTTTGTTTCAGCTTAAGAGTGGCCTCATGAATCCTTTTTCTCACTAACGAAAACTTTGCAGAGGAGACAGTGCTTTTTACCACTCCTACAGCTCATTTGCACAGAGAGAGAGTGGCCAGAAATCTGACTGGTGAAAATTTTTTACCCTTTTGCCGGCATTCCAGGTTTCTGGGTTCCCTTTCTCTGAGTGGCCCTCATGATCCTGTTTGCTGAATCATAACTGCAACACAAAGGAAAGTTATCTTTTCCCATTTCATGAAACCACAGGCCAAAAGCCTCTCAATATTGTAAGATGCCACGCAAGTGGCTGCGGAGCGTAACCAAAATAACATTTTCCATTTCAGCAAGAGCAAAATATGCATGACAAAACAGACATTAGCTACTTGGCTTAGGACCCAATATCAAACTGGCAAGACTCAAACTTGCCCCCAGTTGGGCCCTGCCATCTTTAATCCATTGAAAGTGCAGTGGAAAGATTCCAACCAGGAGTTTCAACATGTGGTCTCTGGACAACATAGTCGCCCTGCGTAACAGAAGAGAGAAAATAAAAATAAAAAAAGAAGAAGAAAAATAAAAAGAAAGAAAAGCATTGTCTGTGGTGGGGTGGGAAAGGTGAGGAGCTCAGGGAGACCAGAGAAAGACCCAGCCATTGCAGCGACACTGAATCAAAAGTTTGGGTGGCTATAGTCCCATCAGTTCCCAAGTTTCCCCTTTTGGGGAGAACCAAGAAGAAACAAACCCCAAAGCTGGCAGAAGAGAAGAAATAACCAAGATCAGAGCAGAACTGAAGGAGATAGATACACAAAATACCCTTAAAAACCCATGAGTCCAGGAACTGGTTTTCTGAAAAAATTAATAAAATAGACTGTTAGCTAGACTAATAAGAAGAAAAGAGAGAATAATCAAATAGGCACAATAAAGAATGATAAAGGGGATGTTGCCATTGACCCCACAGAAATACAAACAACCACCAGAGAGTACTATAAACACCTCTATGCAAATAAACTAGAAAATCTAGAATAAATAAATTCCTGGACACATACAGCCTCCCAAGCTTGAACCAGGAAGAAGGTGAATTCCTGAGTAGACCAATAACAATTTCTGAAATTGAGGCAGTAATAAATAGCCTACCAACCAATAAAAGCCCAGGACCAGACAAATTTACAGCCAAATTCTATTAGAGGTACAAAAAGGACCTGCTACCATTTCTTCCGAAAATATTCCAAACAATTGAAAAGAAGGGACTTCTGCCTAACTCATTTTATGAGACCATCACCATCCTGATAACAAAACCTGGCAGAGATACAACAAAAAAAGGAAACTTCAGGCCAATATCCCTGATGAACATCAACACAAAAATTCTAAAGAAAATACTGGAAAACTGAATCCAGCAGCACATCAAAAAGCTTATCCACTAGAATCAAGTCAGCTTCATCCACAAGATGCAAGGCTGGTTCAACATACACAGATCAATAAATGTAATTCATCATGTAAACAGAACTAAAGACAAAAACCACATGATTATCTGAATAGATGCAGAAAAGGTCCTCGATAAAATTCAACATCCCTTTAAGTTAAAAACTCTCAATAAACTAGGTATTGATGGAATACACCTCAAAATAATAAGAGCCATTTATGACAAACCCACAGCCAATATCATACTGAATGGGCAGAAGCTGGAAGCGTTCTCCTTAAAAACCGGCACAAGACAAGGACGCCCTCTCTCACCACTCCTATTCAACATAGTATTGGAAGTTCTGTCCAGGGCAATCAGGCAAGAGCAAGAAATAAAGGGCATTCAAATAAAAAGAGAGGAATTCAAACTGTCTCTGTTTGCAGATGACATGATCTTTTATCTAGAAAACTCCTTTGTTTTAGCCCAAAAGTTTCTTAAGCTGATAAGCAGGTTCAGCAGTCTCAGGATACAAAATCAATGTGCAAAAATCATAGGCATTCCAATACGCCAACAACAGACAAGCAGAGAGCCAAATCATGAATTAACTCCAAATTCACAATTGCTACAAAGAGAATAAAATACCTAGGAATACAGCTAAAAAAGAAAATGAAGGACCTCTTCAAGTAGAAATACAAACCACTGCTCAAGGAAATCAGATTTGACACAAACAAACAGAAAAACTTTGCATGCTCATGGATAGGAAGAATCAATACCATAAAAATGGCCATACTGCCCAAAGCAATTTATAGATTCAATGCTATTCTCATTAAACTACCATTGATATTCTTCACAGAATTAGAAAAAAACTACTTCAAAATTCATATGGAATCAAAACAGAGCCCATGTAGCTGTGACAATCCTAAGCAAAAAGAAAAAAGCTGGAGGTATAATGCTACCTGACTTTAAACTATGCTACAAGGCTACAGTAACCAAAACAGCATGGTACTGGTACAAAAACAGACACATAGACCAATGGGACAGAATAGAGAATAGAAATAAGACCACATCTACAACCATCTGATCTTTCAAAAACATGAAAAATACAAGCAATAGGAAAAAGATTCCCTATTTAATTAATAGTG
Source organism: Homo sapiens (assembly GCF_000001405.40). NCBI lineage: Eukaryota > Metazoa > Chordata > Mammalia > Primates > Hominidae > Homo > Homo sapiens. Next base: position 4,151,156 of record NC_000024.10, read on the forward strand.
CTGGGAAAACTGGCTATCCAAATGCAGAAAATTGAAACTGGACCCATTCTTTACACCTAATACAAAAATTAACTCAATGTGGATTAAAGACTTAAATGTAAAAACCAAAGCTATGAAAACCCTAGAAGACAACCTAGGCAATACTATTCAGGATATAGGCATGGACAGAAATTTCATGATGAAAACATCAACAGTAATTGCAACAAAAGCAAAAATTGACAAATGGGATCTAATTAAACTAAAGATCACCTGCACAGCAAAAGAACTATCATCAGAGTGAACAGAGAACCTACAGAATGGAAGAGAAAATGTTTGCAGTCTATCCATCTGACAAAGATCTAATATCCAGAATCTAAAAGGAACTTAAATTTACAAGAAAACATGGGCAAAGAATTTGGGAGGCTAAGGTGGGTGGATCACTTGAAGTCAGGAGTTCAAGACCAACTTGGCCACATGGTGAAAGTGTCTCCACTATTAAAAAAAAAAAAAGAAAAAAAAAGCTAATTAGCTGGGTGTGGCAGTGGGTGCCTATAGTCCCAGCTACTCAGGAGGCTGAGGCTAAATAATTGCTTGAGCCTGAGAAATGGAGGTTGTAGTGAGCTGAGATTGCGTCACTACACTCCAGCCTGGGTGGCAGAGTGAGACTTTGTCTCAAAAAAAAAAAAAAAACATGTGGGCAAAGAACACGAACAAACACTTCTCAAAAGAAGACATTTATGTGGCCATCAAACATATGAAAAATCAACATCACTGATCATTAGATAAATGCAAATCAAAAGTATATTGAGATACCATATCACGCCACTCAGAATGGTGATTATTAAAAGTCAAGAAACAACAGATGCTGGTGAGGCTGTGGATAAACAGGAGTGCTTTGATACTGTTGGTGGGAATATACATTTGTTCAATCATTGTGGAAGACAGTGTGGCTATTCTTTGAAGACCTAGAACCAGAAATACCATTTGACCCAGCAATCCCTTTACTGGGTATATACGCAAAGTAATATAAGTTATTCTATTATAAAGATACATGCCCATGTATGTTCATTGCAGCACTATTTACAATAGCAAAGACATGGAATCAACCCAAATGCCCATCAATGGTAGACTGAAAAAAAGAAAACATAGTATATATGCACCATGGAATACTATCCAGCCATAAAAAAGAAAGAGATCATGTCCTTTGCAGGGACATGGATGGAGCTGGAAGCCATTATCCTCAGCAAATCCAAAGCCATTATCCTCACACAGGAACAGAAAACCAAACACCACGTTCTGACTTATAAGTGGAAGCTGAACAATGAGAACACATGGACACAGGAAGGGGAATGACACACACTGGGCCCTTTTGGGACAGGGAGTTTGCGGGAGGGAGAGCATCAGGATAAATAGGTAATGCACACGGGACTTAATACCTAGGTGTTGGGTTGATAGGTGCAGCAAACCACCATGGCACATGTTTACTTACGTAACAAAACTGCACGTCCTGCATATGTATCCCGGAACTTAAAGAATTCACAAATGGCAAAGGAAGAATTTCCTCTCTTCCCAAAGTGGTGCTAACTAAAAAAAAAAAAGCAAGTAGGTGCGATCCTTAAAGGGCCTGCGTGAGGCCCTATGCAGGCTCACAAACTGCTTCAAAAGCAGTGGCTTTTGAAACCAATGGCTTTTGAAGCAATTTGTCCGCCTGCACAGGGGAAAACTTGGCCCTGGGGAGTAACAGGAATGAAAATCATATGGTAAGTCATAAGGACCTGACAGAGCCAGTGTTCCGATTAGTGTCTGTCCCAGCAATGTGCCAGCAGAAAGGGGAAGGGTTGGAGTTCATCCGAGCTGGTAGGGTAAAAGCAAATATAAATCTCAGGAGATATCCCCAAGGGAGCCCATGTCTTTGCTGCCTCACAAACCCAGTAAAACAGCTGTGGGCACATGAATAGCAGGGAGTGTATATTTAAGAAGTCACGTGACCTGCAAAGTGAAAGCAAAGAGCAGACTTACCCCCAAGGCAGATGGTCTGGCAGGTGTGCAAGGCCATTTCAGAACACACACAGAGAAAACAGGAGAATAGACATTGTGAATTCTTGGGAAAGAGCCAATTTGAGATGAAAAAGCAGAGGAAACCCAGACATTGCACGGTTTTAGACTTTAGCTCTAGCATTCTCGTGAGCTTCCTGTCCAGGAGGGCCATTAGTGCTTCAGTCCTACTCCATGTGAACCCCAACGTCCTTTCCACTATGATGAGCCATCCATCAGGGTGAGCTGAGAGATCAGCCAGGAGGAGCAGGGTCACTAATGTCTGAAAGGAATTGTTCTGGGTGTTAGTTAGTAAGCAGAAGAGAGAAAGGGAGAAGAAAACCATGTATGGGTGTTGAACACCTCCAGCCAAAGAAGGCGAGGCATAGAGATCTCTTACGATTAGGGCATGGATCCTAGCCAAGCGGTGCCAATGTATGTTAGCGGTGAAAGTTATCCGAGTCACAGCGCACCGAAATATATCAGCAAAGTCAATTCCTGCCGCCTCAGAAGAAAGAATTCAACTGACGGGCATAAGGTAGAAGAAAAGACCAAGGCAAACTTTAGAGCAGGAGAAAAGTTTATCAAAATGCTTTAGGGCAAAAATGAAAGGAAGTAAAGTACACTTGGAAGAGAGTCAAGCAGGCCACTTAAAAGACAAGTGTGCGGTTTGACCTTTTGACTTGGGTGTTTTTTTTTTTTCTTTTCTTTTCTTTCTTTCTTTTTTTTTTTTTTTGATGGAGTCTCACTCTGTCGCCAGGCTGGAGTGCAGTGGCCCGATCTTGGCTCACTGCAACCTCCACCTCCCGGGTTCAAGAGATTCTTCTGCCTCAGCCTCCCGAGTAGCTGGGACTACAGGCGCGTGTCATCACGCCCAGCTAATTTTTGTATTTTTAGTAGGGACGGGGTTTCACCATGTTGACCAGTATGTTCTCCATCTCCTGACCTCGTGATCCACCCGCCTCAGTCTCCCAAAGTGCTGGGATTACAGGCGTGAGCCACCACGCCTGGCCTGACTTATATGTTTTATATGTTGGCATACTTCTGCGGTCTTGCGTCCCTTCTCCCTTGATTCTTCTCTTGGGGTTGGGTGTCTGCATGTGCAGTACTTGGAAGCTGAGCATGTGCAGTGTGTTTACTGACGTTATACACATGCTCACTTGAGGCATTCTTCCCTTACCAGCCGAATGCTCCTAGAAAGGTCATTTACCAGTTAAACTCCAACTTTCTGCCTCTCACTTCACATGTTTGAGCTCACTCCCCCAATTCCCGAGATGTTATCAGAAAGCTGCTGATCACCAGTTTCAGTTTTTTTTCTATCTATAGGGAGATTGCCTTCTGCTGGTGCCAGCTGTGATCAATTATTATTTTAGAGAGACAGGTAACAACCACCTGACCCTTACCTGATGGTTGCCTGATGTTCGCGGTGAGGCGGAGCCCTCTCCTGCCCTGCTCATGCCTGACTATCTGACTACTGTAACAAATGGACTCGGGTTCCGTTCTATATTATCTGTAAAATGCTAATAATGCCTTCTTTAAGGAACTGTTGTAATGACTACGTAAAATGATATGTATTTAATGTGTAAAGCTTAATGTATTATTCATTATAATATAAAATGTAAATTTAATAAAGTGCCAGGAACTATTCAATTTTGATAATTTGAAATAGTATACTTAATGCAATTTCAAAAATAAATATATAAGGCTGGTTTTCTAGTGGCCTATTACATAGAATAAACTACAAACGATATAAAAGATAATATAAATGCATAATTTTTTAAAAGCCTGAGTTAAAGATCTACAGTGACAGAAAAATTACTCAAAATCGTACTTATAAAAAAAAGTAGCTGAAACCATAAACTACTCAGAATCTGTCACATAAAACCACAAATATCAGCCAACTTGAACACGTGGGCATTTTTTAAAAGTGACCTAAATTTAATTCTCACTTAAAAAAAATTATACACTTCATCAGCTTCTAAAGCTATGTAGCATTGCCAAACAAAAGCCACTTTATAATTTTTTTCAAACTATAGCTGATAAATTCTAAACAACTTTATGAAAATTTCACTGTGTTTTCTTTATATAATCTAGAGGAAAATCACCCTAAGAAAGGCCCTCATACTTGTCTATGTGTTCAAATGGAAACTTTTAAATATTTCATCTATAATTCATTTCTGATTTTTCGTGGAATTCTCAATGATTTTTAGAACTATCATTTCATGAATATCTACATACAAAATAATATTGGCAGTTGCTTAGAAAACCAAATGTGATTTTACCTTTGAAAAGTATTTCATGTTACAGAAGAATCTACAGCAAATGAATTCTAAATCAGTTTTTACATGAAATAATATCCACGAGAAATCATATTTATAATATTTTCCATCTGTATAGATTTGATATTTATATTTAGCAATAAAAAAGATATAAAATGTTCAGTATAAAAAATTAAGGATAATAAAAGTAAGCCCAATTTGATTACTTATTATTTTGTATAATTATTTAAAAATTGACAACAGAATATGGTTGTAATATATAAAATACAATTCAGTAAAAAACAAAAAAAGATAGTTCTAGATTTCTAATTTAAACAAAATAATTAAATATTTCATTTCCTACCCTTTTGGGTATTATGTGCAAGATTTTTCTAATATCTCATTTCTTAATCCTTTTTATAAATGCTCTGATCTAGAAAACTAATGAGTTTTTATCTAAGAGTATCTATCATTCTAAATTTAAAATTGTAAACATTCATCTTAACAAAATTCTGTTGGACTACCATTTCTCATGTTGGTTTACAGAAAATGGAAAATGGTACTCCAAAATATGGCACTGTGGTATGCTAAGTGTTTTGAATTAAAGAAAATTGAAAGGCCTCAATAATAAGCTTCTCAACCACTGTCTCTCTCTTACCTTCCCTTGTCCGCTATCTCTGTGTTCCTTTTTCTATTTTTTAAGTAAGAAATCAATTATCCATGTTATTGTTAAAGATGATCTTTTTTCTTTGGTGATAACCAGAAGGGACTGTCTTTAAAATTTTCTTAACTAAGAAAACTTCTTTCATAAGAAATGTAATAGTTTTAAAATTCCCTCCCTAGAAATATCATCAAATAATGAGAAAGATTAACCACAGAAGGAAGAAAGAGACTAGGATTCATCAGAAAGTCCAGATAGACTTTGCATCTATTCTAATGACAGTTCTGAGATTTTATTTGCATAATAAAACATTTACTCACTGTAAAGCCCCAGCCCTCGCCTTTCCACCATCTCCCTCAGAGCTCAGAAAATCTTTGTAACATGCCATTGCTTTTGGACCTCATTCTTTTCCCCTGAAAATCATTTAATCCCACAACCTCCATCTCCCCTTCCCCTATGAAGACAGGTAAATAAGCATCTTGATCTGTTTGGGTTATTGCATAACCCTACTCTAGTTCCCCTATGTTTATGCCTATTAAATAAATTTTATATACCTTTTTCTCCGATTAATCTGCCTTTAGTCAGTTCATTTTCAGCAAATCTTCAGAGGGTAAAAGGGAAGCTCTCCCTTTTGACCTTACACTAAATAGAGACAATACAGTGATATAAGCAAAGTGAGAAAAGAAATGTAAACCAAAGACAATGGAAAAAACAAACAAACACAAAAACACAAAAGGAAAACTATTTAAAATATTGATTGTTTTAGCTTAAGCCAAGACACAACAAATAAAACAAAGTGACTATCATTATCATTGTTAATAATATTATCGATGACAATATAAACTAATAAAATGTAGAAAACTAGAAATATGTAAATTTATGAGGAAAGGGTTACATTTTGTGTAAAATTCTAAATGTTAGAGTTTGAATTTGATTAATATTAGCTACTTTCAACACTAATATGGCAAATACAAACAAATTAAAATGTAAAAAAGAGAAAACAACATGTACTCAGTTTGGCAGCACATATATTCAACTTGGAACTAGCCTAGGGACAAACTGCTGCTCAATTCACTTTTATGTTCCTGGAAAATTTCCATTCATTCTCTCTGTTTTGGCTGATTTCTTGGCAAACAGACATGGGCAGTTTTCCTGTCACAACAGTCATAGCCTCATTTTACATCGTTGTCATGTTTGCACACTGTATGTAGGAACGAGAGATGAAAGTAGATTTTGATTAAGATAAATATATTCTACTGTGCAATGAGAATGCCTGGGATTTTCAATTCTGTCTGTTTTGTTAGCCTCTCTGATTGCTTTGGATTTTGGATGTTTTGTTTTGCTAATCATCACGGAGAGTTTTACTTTTGTATGCTGAAACATATTCTGTTCTGCCTTCCAGATGTATTAAGCTGTTCATTTTTACTCAAAAACTGAAACACTTGCTTTATGATTTTCATATACCAAATCCATAGTTAGTGTATATACATCATCTTCACCAATTTTGACCTGGGTATTTTGTAAAATGTGAAGTCAAGAACTATTAAACCTAAGCTTCTCTGTCCTAAACTCTTATCTCTCATCTCAAATGTAACATAAAATTCATAATATATTTATTCTAGTTGGTTTGACTGTAAGAGAAAATATCCTTCAAAGTAATATCTTTATTTTCACAGAAGATTAATCTTCACTTTGATGTCTTAAAAATAAAAATGAAAAATTTACATATAGAAGTATAGGATTACTGTGTGCTATGCTTTTCTCATTGATAAAATTAAAAAGTTGGATAATATGAATTCTAAGATGCTTGAAGGTCTAGGATTTATAAAAACTATTATTTCTGTAAAGATAAATAAGAATCAAAGTACATTTTTAAATTAATTTCTTATAGAATTTTTAATGAAATATTAAAACTACCACTCACAATTCTGTTAAAGTTTTAGGCTAAGAAATTTCTTCTAATATGTGTATTCCATATTAATGTTTAGGATTCTGAGAATTTTTAAATTTATCATTTTATACTTTGTGCATTAGCTTCTCCTCATTACCTTTTTTTCAGCCATGCAAAGATTATAATTCCTTTTGTGTCAAAATCTGCATTATATCTCTTAGAATATGATTAGAATTTTTTTTTTTTTTTTTTGAGATGGAGTTTCGCTCTTGTCACCCAGGCTGTAGTGCAGTGGCGCGATTTCAGCTCACTGCAACCTCCACCTCCCAGGTTCAAGCAATTCTCCTGTCTCAGCCTCCCAAGTAGCTGGGATTACAGCCACCACACCCGGCTAATTTTTTGTATTTTTAGCCACGTTGGGCAGGCTGGTCTTGAACTCTTGACCTCAGGTGATCCACCCGCCTTGGCCTCCCAAAGTGCTGAGATTACAGGTGTGAGCCTCCATGCCCTGCCGATATTTCTTTATATTATTTCTTAATTGGTTCATGTGTTAATATCTTCATCTGTATTGTATCTTTTTGCTCAAGGGCAAGATCTGTCACTCAAGCGCTCAATATTTGATTAATCAGTAAGCTAATTATACTTCTTTTTTTTTACCACACAGTGCCTATTATATTATGGATACTCAATAAATATAATACTTGCTGACTGGTAAACTAGTAAAAGATCAATCATTTTCTTAGAGATGCACACCTTATTTAGTATATCAGGGATTATTAAATTATTTTATCATTGAAAAATACTGAGCTAAGGTGCTTTCTGAAGAAAGATGGACAGTTAATTGTTTGTTTCAATGATGATAAATACCAGCAGTAAATTAGGATGAGATAACAAATTCTTCTGGTTTACAATATTAAGACAGTTATCAATTTCACCATTAAATGAAGTACAGTTCTCAGCCATTTATTTTATTTATTTAATGTATCTTTTCTTTTACTCCATTTTTTTCTTGTGATATTTATTTTAATAGAAAGAGGAAGTATAAACTGAAGTGATCATTTTGTATTTTGTGAAGAATGGAGAATGTAACATCTGAGACTGTGTCTCCACATCATACATTGCCCCACTATACTCATTAGTGGTAGAAGGTGTTCTGAGTAAGCTGTCCAATAATTTAAAACCCAAAATGTGTCCAAGGCAGACTTCAAAAATTGCTGGTACTGCCACTTCCAATTTGAAACTAACGTGGGTAAATTTTATTCTAACAAAACTTATTGGGAGAAACTGATAAAATTCATTTCAAAACATCCACCAAGTATGACGGCGAACTTCTTCATGACACTTAGAACTTTGTACTAGTAAAGGTGACATGATATGGCCACCGAAACCTTAGGAAACAGTAGAAAATCAAAAGCCACATTGTCAGACAGGGACAGCATAACTCATTTTGATGCTTGGTAGTATAGCAAGTACAATGGTTTGTACGTTTTTGTCCCTTCCAAATTCATATGTTGAAAGCTTAATCTTCAATGCATCAGTGTTGGGTGATGGGGCCTAATGGGAGATAAGTTTAAGTCTTAAGGGCTCCACCCTCATGAATGGATTAAGGCCCTTATGAAAAGTGCTTATGGAAATAAGTTCGCTCTCTTCTGTTTCTCTGCCATTTGAGAAACAGTATTTCTCCCCTTCAAATAATGCTGCATGCAAGGCACCATCCGGAAAGCAGAGACAGATCTGTTACCAGATGTCAAACTTGCCAGATTTCTAATTTTGGACTTCTCAGCCTTCAGTGCTATGAGAAATTTCTGTTATTTGTAAATTGCTGAGTCGCGGGTATTCTGCTATAGCAGCAAGAAATGGACTAAGACAGTAACTATTGTAACAATGTCAAGAACTGAGGGCAACTTAAAGAAATGATTTGAGTAGTTGTAGAAAGATCAGACATTTAACAACAGATCTGTACATATCAGACCACACTCAAAACAAAGCAGGAAGAAATGAGTCTCTGTTGTCTAACACTAACACACAGTATAGAGAATCCAGAATACTTGTTAATTATGCAGGTGTAAGTGATTTACCAATTATTATTGTAGTAAACATATTCCAAACTAAATTAATAATCTTCTGAAATTTGTACTTTGAATATCTCTATGTATGACCTCCTTCATGTTAATAAAAATATTATCAGTCTATGAAAATATTTATCATAATTTACAATTTTCTTTCACTACTGTGCAATATACCCAATGAGAATCTAAGTAATATCTCCTACAGAAAACACCTATAATATCTGTCTTTCATTCCATTATGATTGGTTTTCACAGACCTTCATTATTTTACCTATTTGTGCAATTTTATCTTACATTGAATATGTTCAAAATGATTCAGGCAGTTAAGCTGAATTGAGATCAGTTCTGTCTCCCTCATTACTGCTTGTAATTATCCAAATCACTAGTATTATTTTCTAATTCTCTAATATATAAACTTCTATCATCCCCTCACTCCTGTAAATTCCCTAAGAATAATAATCACATCTTACTCTTTTCATGTATTTCCACGATGTCTTCTCTTGTATTTTGCACATAGATAATGAATACTTGTTAACATGAAAAGTATTGAACAGAGTATTCTCTGTTAACTCTAATCTATATCACAGGTCAAATAAAATAAGATTTGATGGATAGGTACAACCTATCTGTAATAAAATTAGATTTGCACATATAATTGTGCACTGTAAAAATGTTTCAAAATTTTTTTTTCACTACTCACCACTTATTTTGGTTAAATAATTTCTTAGACAATTTATTTATAAAATATAAATAAATTAAACTCATATTTAAGTTACCATAAATTAGAAATAGAAGGCAAATTAGTATTTATTATAACCAAAACAGCAAGTACATTTGATTAAAATCAAGAAATAGCAAGGAGTTAAGGTAATTTCCATTCAAAGGATTAATTAATGCAGTATCTTGTATCACAAATTAATCTTACACATGCTTAAATACAAAAAACCTGCTTTATTAAAGCTTCTGGTTATGGTTTCTGGATGGAAATTCAATCCCTTAGGCACAAACAAATATGAAACTAAAATTCTGTTATGTTATATTTCTGTAGCCCAATTATTTCAATTATGATGGCCTTTCAACTATTTCAATTCCAAATATTTTAATTATGATAGCATATATAATAGTCTATGATAAAAATTCCAAGACTAACACATTCTAAATTCTATTTCGCTTAGCAGAAACTCTTTGTAAAGAAATCTTTCTCCAAAATTTAATGTTGTATACTTGGTTGCCTAATTTTAGCAGAAAATAATCAAAAAGTAGCAAAATAAAAATTATGTTAGAGTAAAAATGTTCTGTTGTCTAAAAAGGGGCAATGGCAAATCAGTGTCACCACTAGATCAATGCCACAACACTCTTTTAATAATTATGCTCTCTGGCCTCCCTTTTGACTGAAGTTTACACCTTGCAAGTATAAAACTGTTCTCCACACTTATTCTGAAATATGCTTCTGAAAGAAATGTTGTTTCAATAAATTGACTCCAAGTAACCTTGTGAGCCCACGATCAATTATAAAATTTTATTTTTGAAAAATATAAAATTTGCTTTTAAAAAGTGCCATAGAGTGGTCAAAGTATGGATTTTAATGGAAGAAAATATGTCAGATGATTAAAGGAAAGGAAAGGCCAAATTTTAAATCTTCTTGCTGGTTTAATCACTAATTTGATCTATGTGACAAGCCTGTACATTTCAGTACCCTGCATATTTATCTTTTGAATAAGAATAGTTGCCCACTTGAGAGGACTTACAGAATGGAGATGCATGTCTGAAGTGAGCTTAATGAGCAGAGACATTTCCAAAATACAAGAAACTGCAAAATGGGAAGGGAATTAAATTCTGGCCATTTAACTAAATTGCACGTATATCTAATTTTTCATTTTTAATTGAATGAATACAATCACCTTAAAATATAGCATCAAAAAGCATTTAAAAGTTACAGATTATAAGGCATACTGAAAAATGAATGCTACTGTAATTGCGATTCTAAGAAATGTCCATTGCAAAGGTGCTGGTCTAGTGCTTCTTAGAGCAAACAGAATTAGATAACAGAGCTTCTTATTTCTTATGATTAGATAAAACATTAGCTTGTACCATAAGATTTATATATTAATATCTTTTTGCATAAGTTAAAAATGTTTATTGCAAACACAAATGTGCATATAAAAATAATGGTCGAAATAAGTTGGCCAAAGAGAGAAATAATACAGCATGGTGGCAATGAAAAAAGACACATCTGCTAAAAATAACAGCAGCAATAAAGAACATACATGTTTGCACACACAACATAATTACTTAATGTAAAGTGGAGTTATTAGTTACATTAAGAATGAATCATGAAAGTCACAAGGTTAGGAAGGAAATGAAGTAAGAATATCTATTCTTTATTTTAAACTACATAGAAATGTCAGGTCTCTATCAAAAACCTGAAGAAATGTATGTTGCCTAATCATGTTAATCATAGTTCAGACTTTGGCCAGAAAGACCTCACAGCATTGTTGCAAAAATCAAATGAAATGAGAAATGTACAAGTACTTCATAAACAGCAAAATGTTCCATACATGTATTAGAGACATTATCTTTTCAATATTCAGAGAGTCTCACATTCCAATATGGGATAGTGCAAAAAACAAACAAACAAAACTCTAGAACACGGTGGAGAAATTTATTGCTCTCTGTTCAATTCTTAGATTTTTTTTTTCTTTGCACTAAGCAGTCTCTAAGACACAGGTTAGCCTGGCTTTGAAAGAAGAACAGAGATGATGATAATGTGTTCTAATAAACATGTCTGGCCAATGCCTCTGTCCTAGGGACAGTCCCTTAGCTATTCTCTAGTGGAGAAATATCTTCCGTTGATCTCCACATAAGCCCACGGTGATTATACTAGTAAGAGATTAAATGATCTGATCTCTTAATATGAGTGAAAGAGAGAAAGGGGTATGAGAGTGGATCTAATTGACCCAAACAGGACAACACACATAATATATTTCTGTATATAAAAACTAAAAAAATAGAAAAAGTCCACATTGTGCCAGCAGAGAATGCAATGTTAAGAACAATTTACAGATGAGAAAAGTGAGACAATGACAAAGTAACTTTTCCAATATAATATAAAAGATGTCACAGAGCCTGAATTCGAACTTTTATTTATCTGATTTCAAAGCAAAATAAGCTATTTATTATTACATGAAGCACACTGAAATGAGACCAAGAAGAATACACATGTAAGAATAGTCCAACTTATTTTTTTTTATCAGTAGACTAGTTACTAGGGAAATTTTAGATTTATAAAATTTAAATGGGGCCGGGTGCGGTGACTCACGCCTGTAATCCCAGCACTTTGGGAGGACGAAGTGGGCAGATCACGAGGTCAGGAGATGGACACCATCCTGGCTAACAGGGTGAAACCCCATCTCTACTAAAAATACAAAAAAAAAAAAAAAATTAGCCGGGCGTGGTGGCGGGCACCTGTAGTCCCAGCTACTTGGGAGGCTGAGGCAGGAGAATGCCGTGAACCCAGGAGGCAGAGCTTGCGGTCAGCCGAGATCGCGCCACTGCACTCCAGCCTGGGTGACAGAGCAAGACTCCATCTCAAAAAAAAATAAATTAAATTAAATGGAAAGTACAAAGAGTTCCCATATACTCAATCACACACAGCTTCCCTTATTATTATATTGCATTAATGTGATACATTAGTTACAATTGATGAGCCAATATAGATTCATTATTATTAGCTAAATTCCATGGTTTATATCAAGTTTCACTTTTAGTATTGTACATACTATGGGTTTTGACAAATATATAATGTATATCCACCATTATACTACTATAACACAGAATAGTCCCACTGCCCTTGAAATCCTGTACTCCACCTATTTATTCCCACCTTCTGAAACGTGGCAATCACTGATCTTTTACTGTCTCCATAATTTTGCCCTTTCCAGAGTGTTATATAGTTGGAATGATAGAGTATGTAATATTTTGACATTGACCTGTGTCACTTAGAATTATGCATTTTGGGTGCCTGCTTGTTTATTTATGGCTTGATAGGTCATTTTATTTTCATTTATTTATTTTTTACTGAATAATATTCCATTGTATAGATGTACCACAGTTTATTCATTCCCCTATGAAAAACATCTTGGTTGCTTTCAAGTTGAGGTAATTACAAATAAAACTTCTCTAAACATGTGTATGCAGGTTATTGTGTAGACACAATTTTCAAATAATTAGGTGAAATACAAAAGAGTACAATTGCTGGATTGTAATCAAGTATATGTTTAGTTTTATACAAAATTGCCAAATATAGAGACACAGCAAAAAAGTGAAACTTCAGGCTAATATCCCTAATGAACCTTGATGCAAAAATTCTTAACAAAATACTAGCAAACTGAATCCAGAAACACAACAAAAAGTAAATTCACTGTGAACAAGTAGGCCTTATTACTGGCATGAAAAGTTGTTTTAACACCTGCAAATCAATAAATATGATTTGCCATATGAAAATAATTAATAACAATATTTAAATGAACATCTCGATAGATGTGGAAAAAGCTTTAGATAAAATCCTAAATCCCTTCATGGTAAAATCCCTCAAAAAACTAGTCATTGAAGGAACATACTTCAAAATAATAAGAGCCATCTATGACAAACCCACAGTCAACATTATATGGAATTGGCAAAACCTGAAAACATTTCTCTTGAGACCCACAACAAGGGAAGAATGCCCACTCCCATCACTCCTATTCAACATAGTACTGAAAATTGAAGCCAGGGCAATCAGGCAAGAAAAATAAATTAAAAGTGTCCAAATAGGAAAAAAAATTCAAACTATGTCTCCTTGTCATTTATATGATTCTATATACCTAGAAAACACTAAAGACTCTGCCAAAAGCCTCATAGAACTTGAAGAAAAACTTCAGTAAAGTTTCCGGATAAAAAATCAATGTACAAAAATTAGTATCATTTCTATACACCAATAATATTCTATCTCAGAGCCAAATCAAGAACACAATCCCATTTACAATAGCCACACAGACAAAAAATAAAATACCTAGGAATGCATCTAGCAAAGGAGGTGAAAGATCTCTACAAGAAGAACTACAAAACACTGCTGAAAGAAATCATAGATGACACAAATAAATGGAAACAAATCCTGTGCTCATGGATCGAAAGAATCATATTGTTAAAATGGCCATACTACCCAAAGCAATCTGCAGATTCAACACTATTCCTATCAAACTACCAAAATCATTTTTCACAGAATTAAGAAAACACTATTCTAAAATTCATATGAAATGAAAAAGAAGCTTGAATAGTGAAAGCAATCCTAATCCAATAGAAGAAAAGCTGGAAGCATCACATTGCCTGTCCTCAAACCATACTACAAAACTACAGTAACTGAAACAGCATTGTACTGGTACAAAAACACACATAGTCCAATGGAACAGAATAGAGAGCACAAACATAAAGCCACACACCTACAACCATCTGATCTTTGAAAATTTGACAAAAATAAGCAAAGGGGAAAAGATTCCTTCTTCAAAAAATGGTGCTGAGATAATTGGCTATACATAAGAATAAGAATAAAATTGGACCCCTACCTGTCACCATATGCAAAAATTAAGTCAAGATGGATTAAAACTTAAGTCTAAGACCTCAAAGTATCAAAGTACTAGAAGAAAACCTAGGCAATAGCTGTCTTAATATTGGCCTTGGCAAGGAATTTATATCTATTTCCTCAAAAGCAACTGCAACAGAAACAAAAATTGACAAGTGAGACCTAATTAAACTAAAGAGCTTCTGCACAAGAAGAGAAACTAAGGCAGTAAACAGTCAAACTACATAAGGGGAGAAAACATTCCCAAACTATGCATCTGACAAAGGTGTAACCTCCATAATCCGTAAGGAACTTAATCAAATAAAAAAGCAAAAAGCAAAGAACTCTATTAAAAAGTAGGCAAAGGACATGAATGGATACTTCTGAAAAGACACACAAGCAGGCAACAAACATGAAAAAAGTGCAGCATCTCCAATCATCAGATAAATGCAAATCAAAGCCACAATGAAATACCTTCTAACACCAGTCAGAATGAATTTTGTTAAAAAGCCAAAAAATTACAGATGTTGGCAAGGCTGCAGATAAAATAAGACACTTATACACTGTTGTTGAGAATGTAAATTAGTCCAGCCAATTGGGAGAGCAGTTTGGAGATTTTTCAAAGAAGTAAGAGTTGAACTACCATTCAATCCAACAATCCCATTAGTGGGCATATACCCAAAAGAAAAATAAATATTTCTATCAAAAGGACATGCATCCCTGTGTATTCATCACAGTGCTATTCACAATAGCAAAAACATGGAATCAACTCAAATGCCCATCAATGGTAGGTTGGATAAAGATAATGTGATACATATACACCAGGGAATACTATGCAATAATGTAAAAGAATGAAATCATGTGCTCTGCAGCAACACAGGTGCAGCTGGAGGCCATTATCCTAAGCAAGCTAATGCAGAAACAACAAATCAAATACTGCATCCTCTTACCTTATTTAGAGGCTAAATTCTGGGGACACATGGACATAAAGATGGGAATAGTAGGCATTGAGGGCCACTACAGAGGAGAGGAAGGGAGTGGGGCAAGGCTGGAAAGACTACCTATTGAGTACTATGCTCACTACCTCAGTGATGGATTCAGTCCCCAAACATCAGCATCACACAACATACCTTTGGAACAAGTCTGCACATGTACCCATGATTCTAAAATACGAATTGAAAAAGAAAAAATAAAAAACTGCCAAATATCTTCTAAAATGTTTATACCATTTTGCATTATGGTCAACAATGAATGAGAGCTCCTGTTCCTGTACATTTTCTCTGGTGTTTGGTTTTGTCAATGTTTTGAATTTTTACCCTCCTAATAGGTGGGTAATTGTATTTCATTGTTGTTTTAATTTGCAACTCCTTAAAGAGAAAGAAGAACATCTTTTTATAAGCTTATTTGCCATTTGTATACCTTCTTTGATGGGGTATCTGTTTAGATCACTAGCCCATTTTTGAGTTCTTTGTTTTTTACATTGTTAAACTTTGTGTTCTTGTCATATTTTGGATTACAGTCCTTTTATTCTATATGTCTTTTGAAAAATTCTTCTTCTATTCTGTAGCTTGTCTTCTCACTGTCTTGACAGTGTCTTTTGAAGAGCAAAGTTTTTAAGTTTTAATGAAGACCAGCTTATTATTTTCTTTAAATAGATCATGCCTTTGTTCTTGTATCTAAAATGTCACTGCCAAATCCAAGGTCAACGGAAATTTTTTCTATGATATCTTATAGGAGTTCTATAGTTTTGCATTTTTAACCTGGATTTTTAAAATTAATTTTTGAAAAGTACATCTGTGTCTGGTTTGTTTTTGTTTATGTATTTTGTGAATGAAGTTATCCAGTTGTTCCTGCACTATTTGCTGGAAAAAATCCTTAATTCATATATTGCCTTTTCTCCTTACTCAAAAATCAGTTGACTATATTTGTGAAGGTCTACTTCTGGACTCTATTCTACTCCAATATATATTTGTATAATATTTTGCCAATACCACACTTTCTTGATTGCTTTAGCTTTATACTAAGTCTTAAAGTCAGGTAGTGTCAGCTTTCCAAGTTTGTCTTGTCTTTCAATATTGTGTTGGCCAGGTTGTGTGTTTTGCCTTCATATATAAACTTTATGATCTATTTCTCAACATTCATAAAATTATTTGCTAAGATTTTGATTGAGTGTGTTGCCTCTATGGATAATATTCTATTTATATAAAACATATTTCCATTTATTTGTATCTTCTCTGATTTCTTTCATCTGAGTATTATGATTTTCCTATGTATATTTTGTACATATTCTACTAGATTTTTAACTAAGTATTTCATTTTTAGGTGTTAATGTAAATACAATTTTGATTTTAATTTCAAATTTTATTTATTCTCTGTTGACTTGGGTATGTTAGTCTTGCATCTTGCAACCTTATTTTAATTGCTTATTAGTTCAAGTATTTTGTTGTTGATTGCTTGGAATTTTATGCATAGACAATCATGTTATCTGAGAACAAAGACAGTATATTTTGTGTGATTAATATTTTTAAAAATTGTTAAGATGTGTTTTATGTCCCAAAATACGTTCTATCCTGTTGAATGTTTAATATGGGCTTGGAAAAAATGTGTATTCTTCTGTTGTTGAATAAAATACTCTATGCATATAAATTACATCCAGTTGGTTGATGAAGTTGGTGAGTTCAATTATGTCCTTAGTGATTTTCTGTTACTGGATCTTTTAATTACTGATAGAGGAGTATTGAAGTCTCCAACTACAATGGAGTATTAATCCATTTATTCTTGCATTTCTTACCGTTTTTGTCTTACCTATTTCGACACTCTGTTATTAGGCCCATACACACTGAGAATTGTTATATCTTCTTAAAAATGGACTCCTTCCTAATTATGTAATATACTTCTTTGTCTCTAGTCATTTTATTTTTTGCTCCAAAGCGGGCTGTATCTAAAATTAATATAACTACTCAATATTTCTTGTTATTAGTGTTAACATGATAGAATATTTCCCAATTCTTAACTTTAATCTATTTTTTATATTAAAATGGGTGTATTGAAGAGAACATATGTTTATGATTATTTTAAATCCACTATGTTAGCATCTTTCTTTTAATTGGAGTATTCAGACCACTGACATTTAAAGTGAATATTGACATAGTTGGATTAATATCTACCATATTTGTTACTTTTTTCTACTTATTGGTTTTGCCCTCTGTTTCTGTTAGTTCCACTCTTTTTCTGCCTTTTGTAGTTTTAACTGAACATTTTATATTTCATTTTATGTCCTTATTAGAATATCAGTTATATTTCTTATACATAACTTAACCAAAATCATCATAACAACGTGATTATGTTTCATGGATAAGTAAAATGAATGGCAAAACACTTGTAAGAGTTGTGAGACAAGTTAATAATATTCCAAGTTAACTTGCACTACACATGTAATAGTATAGTGCTAATAAAAGTAGAGCTAAATTCATTGTACAAGTGTATTTCAAATTTTTAGGAAACAATTAAAATTTTTTAAGAAATATAAGTTTTACTACCCTGATGGTTTATTTGATAAACATTAGGTTAATAATTTGAATGTAATAAAATTCTCAATCTTTCATTTATAATTACCCTTTTTTGTATATATTTTCTCCTGTAATGTATAAATTTGCATGAATTCATTTTTATTGTTAATTAAATGTTTTAAAATATCTTTTGAGGTATGATGGACAAATGAAAACCTGTACATATTTAACATAAACTAATTCATGAGTTTGCAGATAAGTGTACATCCTTGAAATCATGAAAAATATTGTGTTCCCAGAATAAGCATAATTTGTTTTGATTTATAATTCCCTTTATTCCTTAATATATTCATATAGCTAATAATATATTTAGAATCTTGATATCAATGTTCAATAATAGCCATTGGCCTGAATTGTTTTTCTTATTAGGTCTTTGTCATGATTTGATATCAAAGTCATCCTATGTTCACAAAACTATTTAGAAAGGCTTTTTTTCACCTTTAATATTCTTGATTTGTTTATGTAATATTGAGTTTCCTTTCTTAAATATTTGGTAGAAGTTACCAAAGAAGGTACCCCTATCTATATCTGGACCAGCTCATTTGTTTGCTAGTTTTTTGTTGTTGTTGTTGTTTTTTAAATTGTAGGAAATTTATATTTGGGCAAATTTTATGCCTAATTTCAGCATAATGAAAAATGTCTTCTGATCATTTGAATTTACCAACGCAAATGTATACCCAGAAAATTCAGTCCAATTAACGTCATAAGGACAACACTGAATTCATTCCAGTTAGCCAACCCAAAAGGGTTGTATAGACAACCCACAACCAAAGAGTTGTATAGGCAACCCAGAATAGCCAGGGTAGCCCATTTTTATTAAAGGGAGTAAAACTATATAACTATAATAGATTTAGTTTGTGAAGATTAATAATACTATTAATAAATAGTTGATCATAATGAAGAAGAGGATGATTCTCAACAATAAATTAGTTAATTTTGCTTTTTGTTGATAAAAGAGATAAAATATCTGGCAAGAACAATGGTTTAAATTGCTGATACTAGCTTGTAGTCTACCTACAGATCTTCATTATCTTTATTTCTGTCCTCTAGGATAGTATAAATTATCTCTAGAAAATATAGTTTATTTAAAAATTAATATCCATCAGAATTCTATTTTTCCAAGGCTATTTTTTTCTATAGTGTTTCAAACCACAGAAAACCTATATATCTGTATATGGAACATATTGAGAGTAATGTAAAGCATAATGGTGCAACCACCTACAGATAGTGAAGAGAATTAACATAATAATTTTAAAAATACCAACTGAAAATCTTCTTTGCATAAGCCAAAAATAGTTAACTACATGCTGCTAGAGTATAAGTGTTTTAAAAGGAAGTGATAAAGATATTCTTTATTTAGCTCTATTTTATACAACATGTAATCTTGTTGTAAAGAAACATTTACTGTCTAGTTTACACTTTGTGGTTCATAATACCAACACTTACATAAACTAATTAACTAATGAAAATATGTCTTATCTTGTAAGTACTTTGGATAAGAATAGGTTCTCAACATTGTTTTTTGGTATTCTTACTTTTTTCTTCTGCTCATTATTTTTTTTTATTTAATTAATTAAAAAAATTTAAGTTCAGGAGATACGTGTGCAGGTCTGCTACATGGGTTTATTGTGTAATGATGAGGTTTCCTCCTGGTGAACCCGTCACCCAAATAGTGAACATAGCACATGATAGGGAGGTTTTTGAATCCTTTCCCCTCCCTCTCTCTCGCCTTTTGTAGTCACCAGTGTCTATTATTTCCATCTTTGTGTCTACGCATGCCCATCCCATTTTTTATCTTCCACTTATCAGTGAGAACATATAATATTTGATTTTCTGCTTCTCAGTTATTTTACTTAGGAATAGTCTCCAGCTTCATCCATGTTGCAGCAAAGGTCATGATTTCATTCTTTTTTATGGCTGCATGGTATTCTGTGGTGCATACAAGCCACATTTTTTATTCTAGTCAACCACTGATGGATATTTAGGTTAGTTCCATGACTTTGCTATTGTGAATAGTGCTGCAATAAACACACAAGTGCAGGTATCTGTTTGATGAAACAATTTCTTTTTCTTTGGGTAAATACCCAGTAATAGGATTGCTGGGTCAAATGGTAGTGGCTGTTCTATGTTTAGTCCTTTGAAAAGTCTACATACTGTTTTCCGTATGACTAAACTAATTTACATTCCCACCAACAGTGTATGAGCATTCTATTTTCTCTGCATCCTTGCCAACATTTGTTAGTTTTTGACTTTTTATAATAGTCATTCTGACTGGTGTGAGATGATATCTCATTGTGGTTTTAATTTGCATTTCTTTGATAATTAGTGATGTTGATCACTTATACACATGTTTATTGACCACGTGTATGTCTTCTTTTGAGAAATCTCTGTTTAGGTTCTTTGCCCACTTTTTGATGGATTTATTTGTGTTTTTTTGTTGTTGATTTGCTTAAGTTCTTTATATAATCTGAATATTAGTCCCTTGTCAGATGCATAGTTAGAAAACACTTTCTGCCGTTTTGTAGGTTGACTGTTTACTTTTCTGATCATTTCTTTTGCTGTGCAGAAGCTCTTTAGTTTAAGTCCCACTGGACATATTTTTTGTTTTTATTGCATTTGCTTTTGAAGTCTTAATCATAAATTCTTAGCCTAAGCCAGTGTCCAGAATAATTTTTCTTAGATTTTCTTTTAGTATTTTTATACTTTCAGGTATTACATTTAAGTCTTTAATCCATTTTGAGTTAATTTTTGTACGTAATGAGAGCTAGTGGTCCAGTTTCATTCTTCTGCATATGCCTACCCAGTTTTCCTAGCACCATTTATTGAATAGAATATCCTTTCCCCATTGTTTATTTTTGACAACTTTGTCAAAGATCAGTTTCTTTTATGTATGTGGCTTTATTTGTGGGTTCCTTACTCTATCCCATTGATCTATGTGTGTATTTTTATACCAGTACCATGCTTCCTTGGTTACTATAGCACTGTAATATAGTTTGAAGTCAGGTAACAAGATGCTTCCAGTTTTTTTGTTGTTGTTGTTTTGCTTGTTTACTTAGGATTGCTTTGGCTCTTCAGGATATTTTTGGTTTTCTATGAATTTTAGAATAGTTGTTTTCTAATTCTGTAAAAAATAACATTGGTAAATTGATAGAAATTGTGTTGCATCTGTAGATTGATTTAGGCAGTATAGTCATGTAAATGATACTGATTTTTCTTATCCATGAGACTGGGATGTTTTGACATTTGTCCGTGTTATCTATAATTTCTTTCATCAGTGTTTTGTAGTTCTCCTGTAGCAGTCTTTCGTTGCCTTGGTTAAATGCATTGCCAGGTATTTTTTGTTTATACAGCTATTGTAATTGGGATTTAGTTCCTGATTTGGTTTCAGTTTGAGTGTTGGTGCATAGAAATACAACTAATTTTTGTATGTTAATTTTGCATCCTGGACCTTTACTAAACTTCTTTATCAAGTCTTGGAGTATTTTGGAGGACTGTTTAGGATTTTCTATGTATAAGATTATGTCATCAGCAGTCAGAGATAATTTGGCTTCTTTTTTTTTCCAATTTAGAAGCCTTTTTTTTCTTTCTTTCTTTTGCCTGATTTCTCTGACTAGGGCTTCCAGTATTATGTTAAATAGCAGTGGTGAAAGTGGACATCCTTGTCTTGCTTCAGTTCCTAGGGGAAATATTTTCAACTTTTCCACATGTGGTATAACACTGGCTGTGGGTTTATCATATATGGCTCTTATTATTTTGAAGTATGTTCCTTAAATGCTTAGTTTGTTGAGGGCTTTAGTTATAAAGGGATGTTGGGTATTATCAAATGCTTTGTCTGCCTCTATTGAGATGACCATATGGTTTTTTTTTTTAATTCTGTTTATGTGGTTAATCAGATTTATTGATTTATGTATTTTGAACTATCCTTTCATCTCTGCAATGAAACACACTTGATCATGATTAATTATGTTTTGTGTTATTGCTGGATTCATTTGGCTAGTATTTTGTGGAGGATTTTTGTCTACATGTTCATCAGAGATATTGGCCTGTAATTTGTTGTCATTGTCGTTTGTGTCTTTATTGAATCTTGCTATCAGGATGATACTGGTTTTGTAAAATTAGGAAGAAATTCTTCTTTCTTGACTTTTTGGAACAGTTTCAGTAAGATTGGTACCAGCTCTTCTTTATCTGACAGAATTTGACTGTGAATCTGCTTGGTTCTATTTTCTCTTTTGGTAGAAATTTTATTACTAATTCATTTTCATACCTCATTATTTTCCTGTACAGGATTTCAACTTCTTCCTAGTTCAATATTGAGAGATTGTATATTTCCAGGATTTTTTCCATTTCCCCTAGGTTTTCTAGTTTGTGTGCATACTTATGTTCATAGCAGTCTCTAAGAAGCTTTTGTATTTCTGTAATATTATTCATAATGTGAAAGTTGTTAAGATCTTTATTTTTTTTTATGTAGGCATTTAGTGCTATAAACTTTCCCCTTAACACTTTCTGTATCACAGAAGTTTCAGTATGTTATTTCTCTGTTTCCATTTACTTCATTTTTTAAATTTCTGCCTTTTATTGCTTACACAAAAATTATTCAGAATGAAGTTAGTTTCTATGTTCTTGTGTGGTTTTGAGAGTTTCTCTCAGTATTGATTTCTAATTTTATTTCACTGTGATCTGAAAAGGTGCTTGATATGATTGAGATTTTTAAAAAAAGATTGTGACTTTATTTATGACCAAGCATATGATCTATTTTAGAAAATGTTCCATGCACAGATGAGAAAAAATTATATATCTTTTTAGCGTAATTTTGTGTAGATGTGTATTGGGTCTATTGTTCAGGAGTCCAATTTAATTCCAGAGTTTGTTAGTTTTCTGCCTCAGTGATCTGTCTAGTGCTTCTAGTAGGGTTTTAAAGCTCCCTACTAGTATTATATGAATGTCTGTCTCTTTATTGGGTCTAGTAATATTTGTTTTATTACTCTGTGTTCTCTGGTGTTGGGTGTATATATGTTTAGAATAATTAAATTTTCTTGTTTAATTGAGCCATTTAGCATTATATGATGCCTTTCTTTGTCTTTTTTTTATTTTACTGTTGTTTTAAAGTCTATTTTATCTGATACAAGAATATCAACCCCTGCTTCTTTTTTGTTTTTCATTTGTGTGATATATCTTTTTCTACTCCATTATTCTGAGTTTGTGGGGGTCATTACATGTTTGGTGGGTTTTTGAAGGCAACAGATGTTTGGGTCATCTTTAAATCCAATTTGCCAGTCTACATCTTTTAAGTGGAGTATTTAGGCCATTTATGTTAAAAGTTAATATTGATATGTGAGGTTTTGTTCCTGTCATAGTGTTTTTGACTAGGTACAGTGTAGTCTCAATTGTGTAACTGCTTTAGAGGACCTGTGGATTTTGTCTGTAAGTGTGCTTTTATGGTAGCAAGTATTGTCTTTTTTTTTTCCACGTTTAAAACTCCTTTGAGCATTTCTTACATGATTGGTCTGGTTGTGATGAATTCCCTTAGCATTTGCTTATCTGGGAAATTTTTAACTTCTTCTTTAAGAGGCTTAGTTTGGCAGGATATGCAATTCTTGGTTGACATTTATTTTTCTTAAGAAGTCTAAAAATAGGCCCCCAATCTCATCTGGCTTGTAAAGTTTCTCCTGGGAAGTCTGCTCTTAACTCTGTTTTGATTTCCTTTATAGGTAATTTGACCCTTTTCTCTAGCTGTTTTTAAGATTCTTTTCTTTAGCATTGACCTTAGATAGTACAAATACAGAATGCTTCATATATTTGCATGTTATCTTTGCCAGGGGGCATTCTAAACTTCTCTGTATTGTTCTAATTTTAGTATATGTGCTTCTGAAATGAGCACCTTTTATTTATTCTTAACAGAAACTTAAATATGTCATAACACAGATATATTTGCTGTACCCTAAGAATTAACTTTTCATTGTATTGATAAATACGTGTAACTTTGGTTCATACAGACATGTTTGTTCAGTTTGGTCAACTTATTGGCCAATGGAAAGCATGATGTTTAGATATTGTTACAGTTGTAATGTCAATTTAAACATGATAAAAATTCATAATTAATAATTTCTCTATTTCACAGAAAAGAAAATAAGAAATTAAATATTTACAAACACCAAGTATTTCTAGACACTATCCTTTACATATATTGTCCAATATAAGCTTCAAAGCAAACTTACCATGGTTTTTTATTTTTTATTTTCCTGCTTTCTCATAGGAGGAAATTAGAGGACAGAGTAATTAAATAACATTTCCATTATGATACAAACTGACTCCACCATCCATGTTCTTCACAATTTATCTCACTGACTCCTATTCACTGTAGGCAGGACCACTGTGAATTTTGAAAGCTTCTTTCTCAAAACAAATTACACTTTTATGTGTCATTTTCAAATGTTTTTTCTTTATCATTTTAGAGAAAAGAAACTGCATAATTAATATTATGCTGCTGTGTTTCTGTGTAGTTTCCAGAAATTATCTACTACTACCATCTCTTTACTTGCAAATCAGTCCTCTTTCTCTGTAATTTCTCCCTTTATTTTAAGACATTGAAATGTTTAAGACATAGAAGAATTAAAAATGTAGAAACATTTAAGAAATGGAAAGGCAAGGAAGCCTCAAATTTTGTTATGTTTATCTTTATTATGAGCAATTTCCACATATAAGGTTTCTAATAAACATTATTTTTACTTTTCTCAATGACTTAAAATTTATCTACATTAAATCTATCATATTTTACATTTGTCCTTCAGTGCAGGAAATATTAATATAATTTTAATAGGGTTGATAAAATAATATTAACACCATAAAACAATCCAACCAAAAAACATAGAAGCCACATTATTTTTATTTGATCATTATACCAGCTTATTAAAAAAATCAGAGAAGAATAGGCATTATGTGATATTTCAAGGTGAACAGGCTTGATTAATATCAGAGAAGGAATGCCATTCCAAGTATCTTAATCTTATATTTTGTGCTCTTATTAAAATGCCATTTTCTAAAAAAGTTTCCTATTTTGTATATTCTTGGGGAATGAAAAACAGAGAAAAAGAACAACGCTTTAAAGGAAAATAAAGTACAAATTATAATAAAGTTTGAAGATAAAATAAACATTCTATAATTAACCTAATAATTATGGTGAACCAGAGTAAAATCCACATATACCACCCAGACTAAGGAAGTTTTGATCTAATTTAGGCATCTTTTTAAATTCATTCCTTACATAGTGAGAACCCATTTAGACCATTGGCTGGAACTGATGAAACCACATTTATTACCACTACGGATTTCTCATGCCTGCTTATCTTGGCCCATGTTCTCCATTCTGTACCGGGTGGAAAAAAAAAAATTCTTTATTAGTTTATTCACTGCTGATAATGGTTGAACTCTTGCCCTGGCCCTGAAAAGAAGTGCAATGTGTTCCAACTATCTTATTATTTAGCATCCACAGCAGCCATTGTGTAGCCTGGATCCAAAACTACACTTCATATGACGCATGCAATAGAAGTAGCTAGAAAACTTTTATTCCAGTGATAATTATAGCTAACATTTTATATTGAGTAATTATTGTATGCAAGGCATTATTTTAAGTGCCTCATAAAAACATAATTACATTTAATCCTTACAACAATTCCGGGAGGTAGGTATTATTATCCTCCATTTACTAATGAAAAATCTGAGACCTAAAATGATTGAAAACCTAGTAAATGGTAGAACCATAGTTCAATCCTAGATTTTTTGACTCTAGAGATTTAGCTTTTAGCCATTATGCTACATCATCTCCTTTTTAAGTTAATTCAGTATAAAGTGGGACATACCATATTTATAACTTTCATGGGACTAGGTAAACAAAGTGTTCCAGGGTCTTGTTCTTCAAAAGGTTACACTGAATATAGTGAAAATTCTGATATTAGGTGAGAAAAAAACAAGGCATTAATCAAAACATTAGTCAAAACTATATGTATTTGAAAGATTTTTTACAGTGGTTGCTTGGAATACCAACAATAGGAGCAAAGTATAAAAATCCAAATAGCTCTTTCTGTGTATCAGTATAATTTCATTTGTATTCATTTTTCAATCTTGCAAAGATTGTGGAAACAGGAAATGACAGTCATGTAAGTGGTGAACATATTCAAATACTGGAAACAACATTAAAAATTCAACTGAGTAAACTAAAAATTTCATGCTAACATTGTAATTTTTACGGAGGATATCCTCATAATATATATTTCTCTATTATTTAATTTTTAAAGACTTAATAAGTTAATTGAGATGTGTACTTTTCCACAAAAGTATTATAATTGTTTCTATGATTTAACTGTTATTTTATTAAGTATAATTGTTTTGGTTTTGTAAAATTATGTAATTTTGTGTATTATGAACTTTAAACAACAAATTTAATTTCATACAAAGCTTTCATAATATTCTATAGTTCAAGCTGCAATTCTATGTTACAACGTTACTCTAAAAAAAATTCAAGCATCCACTTAGAATTCTGATAGTTGATTTTGAATTCTGCAGGATTGTTTTAATGTAAGAGAGTTACCAGAGGTAAGAAAATAAAGTCATTGTTATATGAGCCATGAAAAAAGACTAGATAATACCAAATATAAATTGTTAGGTAGAATAAAGTGCAGGAGCCTCCAGGGATAATTTGTTAATAATTAAAAATACATACCTTTAGGATAAGACTAAAAAATCTGAGCCTATCTAAAAAAGAAAACAATCAGAATATTACAGAATATTAAAAAATAATATTATGACATATTAAATGGATACTAAACATTAAAATTCCCAAAAGAAAATAATAATATCAGATTTTATAGTTCATAATGTAGTAAGTACCTAAAGCATGTTTACATTTATGCAAATTTGTGACATATGTGTATATAAGCTTGTATGTCTATATATGTATTTAACCATTACTTTATAATCATTCCTTATATTCCCCCAAATTGAAAAATAAATAAATAATAGAATAAACATATTACTTAGAAATATTAAAAAATACCACAAAAGTCTTAGAACAATTGAGTATGGTTGAATCTAGGGAGAAGAATTTCAAGGTCAGAAGGGATTGAGCCAAGCAACTGCTAATTCTCATTATAAGGTTTGTAGAATTTGCTTTATGTTCAAATTTTGTACATGTATAACTTTAAAAGAACAAAAAGATCAAATTTAAAATATAACTTTCTTTTTTCTCTAGATAACTAATTAGAGGCTTTCAGCATGCCTTAGCCACTTGGAGATAGCAAGATAGTGCATAAAGATGAACTCTTCTTTGAGAAGAAAAAAATTGGAATCCACTAGAATCATAAAGGACACCACAGATCCCAAGAAGAACGCTTGTAAACAGCCCCTGTGATGGTATCTGTCTGATACAAGTGAGTGAAGCCCCAGTATGTGAGAGAGGGAGAGAGCCTCCCTCGGTGACTCACCTTTTCCCTGGACATTTGAGCAACCAAGGCTGAAGGAGAGCACTTTGTTTCTCCCAAGCCCTGGCAGCAACTTCAGGATAGGCTTGGAGATACTGTGAGGAAAAGATACCAGGAAAAGCTTCAGGTATTTTCTCAAACATGGGACTGAGAGCAGGATGCCACTTTTAATCAAGGTGCATAGTCAGCCATTCTTTGGTGACTCACAAACATGGCCATGCAGGCATTTCAGTCTCAGGCCAAACACTGGAGTTCTCTCTCTGGAGTGGGGTAAGGGCCTCCTTAGCCAGAGCTATGGAAAGCAGCAGTAGATGCTGGGATTATGCTCTCCCCAGTCACAATCCTGGGGCAGGAGGAGAGCTGCT
Organism: Homo sapiens; assembly: GCF_000001405.40. NCBI lineage: Eukaryota > Metazoa > Chordata > Mammalia > Primates > Hominidae > Homo > Homo sapiens. The sequence goes on from NC_000024.10 coordinate 4,179,051, forward strand.
ACAGCTGCAGTTTCTCCTGGATGGCAAGGACTGCAGTCAGGGCCAGCTTGGTGACCTAGAACTGGTCCATATGTGCTATTGCTGGGTGCCCCAGCCTGCACTCCTGACATCTTGTGTAGCAAGGCCCTCTTTGCTCCAACTCCAGACAGAAATCTAGGCATTTGGAGCATCCTCTTGTCTGGTTCAGCAGCCAAGTGGCATCCTGCTCTTAGTCCTTACTCTTTCTGAACATAGATTGTGGAGCAGCAAGGACCTGTCTGCTCCACTACCAAAGCAGATATTCAGGTATTTGGAACATCAGTCAGCTGGATGAGCAGCCTGAACTTCCCCACCCTTCCTGTGCAGAGATCCTTGTGCAGGTGGGGGTTGTGGGAGTGGAGCTCACTTTTACAAGCTCAGGCAGATTTCCAGGAATTCAGAGCACCTGCTAGTCTGGTTCAGCAGCCTGAGTTGCCCCACCTCTCCTGTGCAGACATCTTGGTGCAGGGGACCCACTCTACTTCAAGCCAAGGAAGACTTCTCGGCATCTGAAGAACACACTCTCCTGTATTAGGAGATTACGCCACCTCTCATTAATGTGCAGAGATTTTGGGGCTGAAGAGGTTCTTCAGCTCCATGCCTAGGCACATCTCTGAGTGCTTGGTGGTGACCCATGGGATTTTCTGTCACTGAAAGTGCTTGTGGCTGCCATCATGGGACCTGAAGGCAGAACTGCCCAGTCTGGCCCCATTTATCACTGTCCACAACAATGCAGGGTTCTGCAGAGGGCTCAGTTCACTAAATATTCTAGTAATCAGCTAATTGCCTGAGGCAACAGAGAGCTTCTGCCAGTAAAAAATAATGTATACAGAACTGCGTTGGCTGCAGCCATCTCTTACCCCTATAAGTACTCTCTGCTGGCTTGTACATTGAACTGCACAGACCAATATAAAACCTGCCAAAAGAAGTGCATGGGTCTATAGAGGCAAAGCCAAAGGACACTACCCAGCATTCTCTACAGTTGTACCCCTAGGGAGGGGAGAAAAGGGAATGGGAAAAATATTGTTATAGGGGAAGAAATAAAAAGAAAAAAATCCTACCAGCATTAAAATAATTAGAAAAATTTAATGTGCCACCATCTCCAGATGAGAAGGAACCAGCACAAAAATTCTAACACCGTAAAAAATCTGAATGTGATGACACCATCAAAGGATCACACTAGCTCTCTAGCAATGGAATCTAACAAAAAGGGAAATTCACAAATTACAGATAAATAATTCAAAGCATGGATTACAAGAAAGTTCAATGAGATCCAAGACAAGGTTAAAAATCAACACAAACTTCTAAAGCAATCCATGAAATGAAGAAAGAGATAGACATCTTAAAAATCAATCAGAGCTTCTGGAATAGAAAAATCCTCTCCTAAGAATTTAAAATGCAATTGAAAGCTTTATCAATAATCTAGAAAGAACAAAAGAAAGAATTTCAGAGCTGGATGACTGGTCCTTCAAGTTAACCCAGTTACACGGAAATAAAGAAAAAAGAATTTTAAGAAATAAAAATTTCTTCAAGAAATACAGGATTATATAAAGTGACCAAACCTATGAATTAATGGCATTCCTGAGAGAAGGGAAAAAAAGCAAACCACCTGGAAAACATATTTGAGGAAATAATTCAAGCAAATCCCTCTAATCTTGCTAGAGAGGCAGACATCCAAATAAAAAAGAAATCCAGAGAACACCTGTGAGATACTATAAAAATGAACATGGCCAAGGCACATATTTACCAGACTGTCCAAAATAAATGCTACGGAAAAAATATTAAGGCCAACTAAAGAAAAAGATCAGATCATGTACAAAGGCATCTCCATCAGGTTACATGTGAAGTTCTCAGCAGAAATCTTATAAGCCAGGAGAGACTGGGGATCTATTTCTAGCAATATTCAAGTAAAGAAATTCCTACGAAGAATTTAATATCCCAGCAAACTAAGCTTCAAAAATGAAGGAGAAATAAAATCTTTTCAGATAAACAAGTTCTAAGGGAATTTATTACCCCTAGGCCAACATTAGAAGAGATTATTAAGGGATTTCTAAATATGGAAATGAAAGAATGATGCCTGTGACCACAATAACACATTTAAGTACATAGCCCACAGACCCTCTAAAGCAACCACACAATAGAAACTACAAAGAAATCAGCTAACTACTTTACGATAGGATCAAAACCTCACATATCAATATTAACCTTGAATGCAAATGGTCTAAATAGCCAACTTCAAAAGCATAGAGGGGCAAGTTGAATTAAAAAAAAAAAAAAAACAAGACCAATCCAACTGCTGTCTTCAAGAGACCAATCTCACACAAAACAACATTCATAGGCTCAAAGTATGTTACAACTCAAATATAATGTAATGGTCTCCTTTATACTTTAACCTGGCTTAAATAGAAGTGTGTCTTAATTATATTATTGTCTATATTTTTGGTATGCCTGAATTATATCATAATAACATAATAAAATATAAGTATATAAGTGTACTTTTTTTTTTTGAGATGGAGTCTCGCTCTGTCATCCAGGCTGGAGTGCAGTGGAACGATCGCTGCTCACTGCAAGCTCCGCCTCCCAGGTTCATGCCATTCTCCTGCCTCAGTCTCCCAAGTAGCTGGGACTACAGGTACCCTCCAACACGCCTGGCTAATTGTTTTGTATTTTTAGTAGAGATGGGGTTTCACCATGTCAACCAGGATGGTCTCAATCTCCTGACATCATAATCCACCCACCTTGGCCTCTCAAAGTGCTGGGATTACAGGCGTGAGCCACTGCACCCAGCCTATAAGTGTACTTTTTAAATTTAAATTTTATAATTAAAAGTGTAATTTTATAATGTAAATATAATGCAATAATTTAAATATTATAATTTGATAATTTAATATTGTAATTTAATAATTTAATATTATAATTTAACAATTTAAATATTATAATGCAAATATAATGTAATAAAATATAAGTAAGGATTAAAAAATAATAGCATAGACTGCATGGTGCAGAATATAACTTCATGATACCTGGAGATCTGTAAGATTATAGACTCCCATCCTGAACCTGGCTCATAGCTTAATAAGAACAGCAGAATTCCTAATATTCCTGTGTGTAAAACATATCCAATCTCCTAGGCTCCTTAAATTAAAGAAAGGCCTCAGTTGTCATTTTTATTATGTTAGAGGTTCCTTTACATGTCTTATGTTTGTATAAGAAAAGAAAATCTTATTGGGATTTGCTGCTTGTATGAATATTGCAAAAGTGATTAACGTAAACAATATGTATATTGGAATTATGAAATTTCATGAAGAGAAGAAACATTTAGCTAAAATTTTATCTGTTCAAGTTAAATCCTGTTAGGAAATTAACTACTTTATGGTTCTGAACCAATATTTAAATTAGTATTTTTTTTTTAAGCTTACAGCCATAAATTTAAAGTGAGTCGAGTCTGGGTGGTTTGAGCTTTTTTCTGTTTATCTGCTCATATATGTAGGCATAAATTAGAGGGAAAGATGGCTTTAATCACAGTTGGGGCGTTTCCAGGAAAATATGTTGGCAAGAGAGAGTGTGTGTGATTTACACATGTACATGAATCACATTAAAATATTTGATTGTTTTAATGTAGGAAACATCAAGTTCAAATCTGTGTAACTTTTACTGCGGTGAAATAAAGTTCTGACATAAAACATAAAATGCTAATGTTTCATACATAGATTTCCTCATTAGATTTATTATATGAAAATTTGAATATGGGCAGCGATGCACTGAAAAATAAAATGAAATGTGTGTTACAGTTTAATTTAGAGGTCTCCATATTGTAATCAGCTTAATGCCCTGGGACAACTACTAAAAATACAGTTTTGATTTATGTTTTAGTAATATAAATGTTTAAGATCATATATGCACTATTCTTTCTTAAGAATTTGTTTTGTTCTTTCTGCACACACACAACATCATAATGACAATGACTTTCTGATGTGTACACATATCTAAAGTTATTCCAAAGTTAACTTCAGGTTGTTGACAGATTGCTTCTCTTGGGTTCTTTGGGGACTGGATTGAAGCTTGGCTTTTGAGAAGGGAGACTTTCATACTTAAGAATGCATTTTTTAGACTATCTCACAAGGAATCAAGACTGTTTTTTGAAGAACCATATTTTTGTTTTTAACTTTTAAGTTCAGGGATATGTGTGCCGAATGTGCAGATTTGTTACATAGGTAAATGTATGTCATGGGGTTTGTTGTACAGGGTATTTCATCACCCAGGTATCGAGTCTGGTATCCATTAGTTATTTTTCCTGATCCTATCCCTCCTCCCACCTTCCACCCTCCGATAGGCCCCAGTGTGTGTTGTTCCCCTCTATGTGTCTGTGAGTTCTCATCATTTAGCTCCCAGTTATGAGAGAGAACATGTGGTATTTGGTTTTCTGTTCCTGTGTTAGTTGTTAAGGATAATGTTAAGGATAATGGCCTGACGTTCCTTCCATGTCCTGCAAAGGAAATGACCTCAAGGAACCACATGTTTAAAATGTATTTAACATCTCTGGGTTAGTGGTTTCCCTAAATGGATGTGAATTCCTTTCATTGAGTAAATAATGGTTGAAGTCCCAGATACTCTCTTAGGACTCCAGGATACAACAGCAAGCAAGACAGTTTATGTCTGTGCTTATTACAGAGTTTACGTTCCGGCAGCTTTGGCCATAAAAAAGTTTCCTTCCCCATATGTAAAAGAATATTTGCTGGAATAATAATAATAACACATAGGCTCAAAAACATGGTTAGATGCCATAAAATATTTTTTATTTGAATTCTGTTTATTGGACTGGCTGCTCAGAGACACTTCTTAATGCCTTCATTTCAATATACAGACACAGTTTTCCAAATGAATACATACTCTATGCCAGGCATTGTGCCAGGTAATTCACACATATTATCTCACTTAAGTCTTGCAAAAAACCAGAGGAAATAAAAAATTATTTCAATTTTTTTAGACAGGAAAAATGACAGTAAGAAAAGTGAGATAATAATCAAATTTAATTACTTTAGTTGTTAGTGGTCACATTGGGCTACAAATCAAGGTTAATTCCACTTCACAACCCTAATACACTCTACCACCCTGCAGCACTGCAGGAAAGCCCTTATAACACATCATATACAGTATTTCCCCCTTACCTACAGGGGATATGTTCCAAGAACCCCTGATGGATGCCTGAAACAGCAGATAGCATCAAAGCCTGTTACACTGTTTTATTTATATGATAACCAAGGCTGCTATTAAGTGACTAATGGGCTCTAGCATAGCCACCATGGATATGTTGGACAAAGAAATAATCTCTGGGCATGAGAGAGTGAAACAGCATCAATGTTATCATGCTACTCAGAATGGCATGACAATTTTAACTTATGAATTGTTTATGGAATTTTGCATTTTGTATTTTTGGACCACAGTTGATGGCAGATAGCTGAATCTATGGAAAGCAAAACCATGGATAAGGGGGAAGTGTAGTATTGCCTGTGGATTATATCAGTATTTTTGTTGTATTTCTGGTCTAAATATTGTAGTGTATTTTAAAAGAAAAATCCAAGCCTTGTTTGAAGAATAACACACATTTTAGTAGCTGGTAGAGTTACTAACAAAGTATTTGTGAAATCACTAGGGAATCTTAGTGGTTGTACTCTTACAGTGTTCTGAACAATGTTAAAGCCACTCTGCGTTGTCCTTGTAGGGGCTCTTGTGGGCTGACTAAATTGTCTTCTTGAGATTCTCTCCCAAGGTATAAAAATTATCCCTATTGGTTTCCAAACACCACCACTGATCATGTTTTACTCACTGTGGAATGAGACCAAACCCAGTAAATATGCTTGCTAAGGAAGTTTAGGCTTTGGTATCATTTAGAAAAAAAGTTGCACTTGCGCAAAATCAAAAACTTAGAGACAAAGGCCAATCCATGTAATAACTTTATTATTACACGAAGCTTTATTCTTCTCCAAAGCCCTATTGAAACACTTTGTAGTTTCAGAGTTCATGAGAACTCTGAGTGTGTTGTAGGGGTGGCAGGACTTTGTAGTCCAAGCACAAAACAGGAATTACTATGGCTAGGGTTGAAACAAGTTGGAGCTCACTATGTGTTAGCCCTTCTTTTGCCTCCTGGTTTTCTTGGCTAGATGCTGAACCTACTCCAGTCTCACATCCATCTTTTCTCTAATATGTATCCATCCCAGAGAGAAATAGATTATTTTGGAAAGCTTGCCAAAAAGCCACTCAGCTCAAAGACATTTATTTCATTTGTGGGGGACTGATTATCTCTCCTATTTCTTATCGAACTTAACTTCCTCTTATGCTCTGTGACACATACACAGAAATCCTATAGTATATTTTCATTAACATCATGTTTTCTGAATTCGACTTAATGTTTTCAATTTAGTTCCAACTTTTACAGGTTCTTCACAGCCTGCCAACTTTCTTTCCTAATACACTTCTCTCTATCTGGAATGCCCATAATTTTTCCAACTCTCTTGAACAACTCACAATATTTTAGTTATCTTTTAAGGTGTAGCTAAAATCAGTTTCTTTATTGAAATCCTCCTTTGCCCTTCCATCAAGAATAAAAGCTCTTTTCTCCTGAACTACTGTTTCAATTTAATTTTTCACGCTATGACATTAATATTGTTCTACCTTGTTATTATTTCAGTACATTTTTTGTTGTGTCTCTTAATTACAAACATGGATCTGAATGTCAGGAACCAGCCTGATTCATCATTATATTCTTATTGCACTCAACACAGGATTTTGTACACTTTCTAAGTGTTCAAAAATATTGGTTGAATTTCTACATTCTCAATTTCACTGAGTACCTCTCAACTCTACTTAATTCACCATTCTCTACTCTGCAAACTCTGCTGCCTACTCTTACACCTTTGACCTAAGTGAGATCTAGACTGCTATGTCTCCTAGTGGGGCTTCCTCTAACCACAAAGAACTTGAATTAAAACAAGTACCTAGCACAAATTGCAAGGGCTCTTTGCTATAGCAGCACATTGATTTGCTATAGCATCACATTGATACTGAGACCTGAAGATGTTCAAGTGGTTTGGCCAAGGCTGAGAATAGACATAGGTATCCAGACAAAATCCACCCATGGCACTTTCTCCCCCAACATTTCTGTCAGTGTTGAATCAGATTATCTGCCTGGAATTCTTTTCTATGTTATTTTCATTTAAATTTTAAAAAAGAAGCTATGGTGTATAAAAGAAAGCCCTTAAGGCCATAAATAGTTAAGCTATCTACACAAAACTAGTAATTTTATGAAGTAACATGAAGACTATGACATTTTTGATTTAATATTTTAAATGTTTTCAGAAAAACTGAGGAAACAGACTAACGTGGGGCCACATGATCAAGAGATAATAGAACACTGTTTTGTGAAACACAATCGGAGCATGGGTTGTTGGATTCCAACCTTATAGTTGATAACGCACCACACCTGTTGCATTATTATTTGTCTAGTGAAAATAGAACGATTCACTGTAACTGCTTTATAAAGATCTTATAAATAATTATTTACTTTCAGCTCACTGAGAGCAAAATTATATGAAAATATGTGATGGTCTGTCAAAGGTTTAAGTGATATGAGAAGGGATCTGCAGAGATTATGTATCATTGGGATGCATTTTCTTTTGTAGAAACAAGAAAAACTTATAAATATATTTATCACTTTTCCATACTCCTATCACTTGTAATTAATTTTTTATCATAAAGAAAGAACTAGATGAAAATCATTGAATATAATTTAAAAGGACTCCAAAAAAAGAGACCAAAGAGGAGAAATATAATTACTTTTCTTGAAAAGAAATTTACCATTTATATTCTAGTACAAGCCAGGGGAAGATGCCTAAATTTTATGTTCTGGAGGGAAAAAGTGTGCCTTCCATTTTTTCACTAACTTAACAGGAATACAAGAACATTAATGTGTTTATATTTGTAAAACACTTGGAATTTTCATTTTTTTAAAATTGTATTATTATTTTACTTAAAGTTTTAGGGTACATGTGCACAACGTGCAGGTTTGTTACATGTGTATACATGTGCCATGTTGGTGTGCTGCACCCATTAACTCGTCATTTAGCATTAGGTATATCTCCTAATGTTATCCCTCCCCACTCCCCCCACCCCACAATAGTCCCCAGTGTGTGATGTTCCCTTTCCTGTGTCCATGTGTTCTCATTTTAAACATGCTGAAAGTGGAAAGTACAATTATCTTGTTAGGAACTATTTGAAATATTTCTGTTTAACACAACAGATAAAACAAGCAAATCCATCTGAGAGTAAGTATATGTAATGTTTCAAAATGCATATGTTTTCTGTGTGGTTTCTAAGCAGCACTCCACTTACCTTGATTTAGTGGTGAGTATTGCTGTTGCTACTGTTTTTGCTAGTTCAGTCACTCAGATGATGTAAGACTGCCATCACAAAATTAAAATTTCTCTCACCTATCAAGTACAAGATACTGTAGTTCATTTTACATTAATCATAGAAGTTGTGAACAAATTTTTTGAGGAGGATTTGTGTAACAACTTACATATTCTTTACTGTTAAAGTAAGATAAGCATATATTTTTTCAATGTCAAATCTGAAGGATAAGTGTAATTTATTGATTTTTATCTGTCTTAATTCTCTTATGCATTTATTTTGTATCAATATATCCATGTAAGTAGAGTTTATGCGTTTCTACTTATCACAATATAAGATATAAACTTAGATAACACATTCATTTTATTAATGCATGATATACCTAAGAGCCTTTTCTAATTTATTCTTCTCTATTGTTCTCTCTCCTTCTTTGTCTCTGTCACATCTTCTCACACATACACGCACATGCATACATATAACTTCAATTTCTATTCCACTAGTGTAATGGAAATGCACTTCTAGAGAGAATCTCTAGAGAGCATGATTGGATAACCTCAATTCAATAGGGTCACTGAAAAAAATAGTAGTTTGTAACTAAACAGTCTTAATTGTTTTCAGAAATATTTCAAAAATATAGCAAGTGAGTTAAGACAATGGTTTTAGATCAACTTCTTAGATTTCAGTTCATTGTAGTGAAATTGATCTTTAAAATGGTATAAATATTATTAACAATTGCTTCTCTGGTTATATGAATAGATACACCTATAGAGAAACAATGGGTTTGAACTATTATGAGAGTGTGGGTATCTACTATGAAAGGGTTTTCAGGCAATAATGAAAATATCTAAACCTTTAAATAAGGACAATGAAAGGGTTTTCTATGCTACATATTAAAATAAAGGCTTTAACACACTTGACATAAGCTCTTTCCATTCTTTAAAGGACATTATGCAAAACTAATAATATTATTGTTGTGTCAAATGTCTTATTGGTAAAAAAAAAACTGAGATTATTGTATTTTAACACTGTGTTCTGCAAAACTGTTTTCTTACTAATCGTTCTACAACTTCGGATAGTCCCTCCTATTATTACCACATAAAGGAAAATTTAGTAATTTGTGAGAAGAAAATATAAAAAGTAATAGTTCTGTCATTGCTTAAAACAGTGTTTTTTCTAAAAAAAAAATGTGTTTAGTTTCATGGTCTCAACAGGCAAGCATGTTTTGCATGCAAATAGCATGTGGTTATGGAGAGTTACTATGACGGATAATGTCTTATGTTGCCTCGACATCTGTGGACTAATAGAGTGACTCTGCAATAAGTGAGTGTATTAGGCCATTCTTGTATTTCTACAAAGAAATAACTGAGACTGGGTAATTCATAAAGAAAAAGGGCTTAATTGACTCAAGGTTCTGCAGGCTGTACAGGAAGCATGGCACCACACATCTGCTTGGCTTCTGATGAGGCCTCAGGAAGTTTACATTCATGGCAGAAGGTGAAGCGGGAGCAGGCACATCACATGGTCAGAGCAGGAGTGAGACAGAGAGAGAGGGAGAAAGAGAGTAGGGTGGTGTCACACACTTTTAAACAACCAGCTCTCTGAAGAACTCACTCACTGTCCTGAAGTCAGCGCCAAGACTTGAGCGATCCACCCACCTCCCACCAGACCCCATCGCCAGCACCGGGGATTACAATTCAACATGACATTTGGGCAGGAACAAATATCCAAACTATATCAGTAAGGTTGTTGATAAAATGTAACCAATCTGAGTTTTTCATTTAAGTTTCAAGCTGACTTTGGGGACTCTGTGGAGGGTTAGAAAGAAAGAATAATTAAAAATAAAAGAAAGAATAATTAAAAATAAAGTACACTCTAGTTCTGGTGGCAATTAACAAAAATGATTTTGAAAAGGCAATTAAGACAACACTAATTTTAAGACACAGTAGTTCTCAGTTTCACTGGAAGTTGTAATGTTAAAAAAAAGAAAAAGCTGACATGCCTAAAAATGGGGAATCTGCCAATGACCATAAAATTAAAATAAAAACACACTACAAAGGTATGTTTTAAGTAATGACATTTACATTATACTTATTGTTAATGTAATGCTTCACAATGATAAAAAAAAATCTGTACCCTTCTGTTAACTTCACTTAGAGACATATTTTATTGGTTAGAGGACAAAAAATGACATGGATTGAAAATTAAAGATAAATAAACTGAGTTCTTGATCTTTACATTGTAGATGCTTCCCACATATTTATTAAATGAGTGAATAAGGAATATTCAGGTGTTTTCCATTCAACGCCTCTAAAAATATTTCATTTTTTAATTTTCATGTGGTTAATCCAGTGATATAAGCTTAGTGATCAATGTTCACGCTTTTGGAAAGCAGTATTTGAGAGTAAAATGTACATGAATCAAAAAATTGGACCTCTTTCTTTTTTCCTGACTTTCTTTATTTTTATTTATTTATTTAATTTATTTATTTTTTGAGATGGAATCTCACTCTGTTGCCAGGCTGGAGTGCAGTGGCGTGATCTTGGCTCACTGCAACCTCCTCCTCCCGGGTTCAAGTGATTCTCCTGCCTCAGCCTCCCAAGTAGCTGGAACTACAGGCACGAACCACCATGCTTAGCTAGTTTTTGTATTTTTATTAGAGATGGGGTTTCACCATGTTGGCCAGGATGGTGTCAATCTCTTGACCTCGTGATCCGCCCTCCTTGGCCTCCCAAAGTGCTGGGATTACAGGCATGAGCCACCACGCCCAGCCTTTTTTCCTGACTTTCTTAGTTACTAAATTATCATTCTTATTTCTATTCCTACTTCCTCTCCTTTTCACTGAATTTTTAAAAAGCTTACCTTTCCCTATGCTACTGAATTCATTTGTACTGTACTATACAACCTCTCACACTGTATTTTATTTTTTTCTTGTTATCTTATTTTCTTTTCTACCAAATTGTTGCCTCAGGCAGGATCTGTGACATTTTCACCTGCATCTTGGTTACTTGGTACATAGATGCATGAAGTGACAGATGATATATATATATATATATTTTTTAACAAAGCAAGTGAAAAGTGTGAAGATACTCCTTAAAGTTAAGAAATAAAACACTATCATTCATTAAGGTTAATATACATGTTTGAATAAAGTATGAGGTTGAGTAGACTAGTGATTGTTAACATTCTTACATGTGCTAGGGTATTCTATATATTAATTCATTTAATCTTCACACACATAAACACACATTCATATTTTATGCAATAAGTGCTTTTATCCTCATTTTATAAATGTGGAAATCAAGGATTAAAGTATTCAAAGAACTTGTCCAGTTATCTAGCTAGCGAGTAATAGATCTGAGACTGGAAACCCTGTTTGCCAGGAGACTTCAAAGCCTCAGGCTGTTTTTTTATAGTGCAATGCTCAGTTTGCTAAAGGAGTATTCCTCAAATGTGCCTGATTTTTAAAATCACCGGTAACATTTATTGAAAACATTGATTTTTTTAGCCAAACCCTAGACCAGCAGAATCAAAATCTTTAGGGAATAAATTGGGTGGGAATTTTTATTATTAACAAGATCCCCAGGGGAAGCTTAAGTTTAGGCAAGTTTGTTTATTTTACAGTGTGTTAGGCCATATTTCATTTGCTCTCCTGAGGTTACACTATTGACTACCTATTTTCTCTACCTTAACAATAATCTGTTTACTTAAACTATTAGTCTTGATTCTTAATACTTGAGGATGAAGACGAATACTAAGGAATAAGCTACAGCTGTATGTGGAAAAATAATGCATTTGAAAATCAACAAATTTCATGGCAAATAATAGATCTGACTACATTTAACATAATGGGAGAAAAACATGATTTTTCAATACCAAACAACCAATCAATAACCAAGCCTCAGTAAGAGTAGTTTGATACAACAGTAACAGTTAAAACCATAATTTATTCTGAAGTTTTTTATCCTTTATAATGGTTGCAAATGAAGCAAGATTTTTCAGTCTCTATAGTTGAAGTTAATAATTTATTGAATGTTTTCCTCTTTCTTCTTTCTATAGTTAGGACACAGAATAAATCCTTTAGTGTCTTAGTCAACAAGTTCTTGCTGTATGATTATACCTTGTATGATCTCTTAAGAACTTCAGTTAAAACCCTTCTATATTCTTTTCTCATGATATTCTAGCAAAAACTTATTATTTGTGATAGGAAACACTAGGTCTTATTCATTTTTCTAACTATATTTTGGAGCCATTAATAATACTCACTTGCCCCTTCACCCCCACTAACTTCCCAGGCTCTGGTAATCATCCATCTACTGTCTACTTCCATGAGTTAAAATTATTTAATTTTCAGCTCCCACAAATAAGTGAGAAAGCATGAATTTGTCTTTCTGTCCCTTGTTTATTTTACTTAACATAATAACCTCCAGTTACACCCACATTGTTGCAACTGACAGAATCTCATGTTTCATGGCTAAATAGTACTACATTTTGCGTAAGTACTACATTTTCTTTATGCAATCATCTGTTGATGGACACTTAAATTGCTTCCAGATCTTAGTTACTGTGATGATTGCTGAAATAAACATGGCAGTATAGATATCTCTTTGATATACTGATTTTCTTACTTTTGCGTACATACCCAGCAGTAGCATTGGTAGATCATATGGTAGTTCTATTTTTAGAATTTTGAGGAACCTCCAACCTGTTCTCCATAGTGGTTGTATTAATTTACCTTCCCATCAACAGTCTTTATGGGTTCCCTTTTCTCCACATCCTGGCCAGCATTTGTTATTGCCTGTCTTTTGGATATAAGCCATTTTAACTGAGGTGAGATAATACCTCATTGTAGTTTTGATTTCCATTTCTCCGATGATCAGTGATGTTGAGTGCCTTGTCATATACCTGTTTGCCATTTGTGTGTCTTCTTTTAAGAAATGTCTATTCAAATCTTTTTGCCTATTTTTTAAATGGGATTATTAGATTTTTTACTATATATTTGTTTTAGCTCCTTTTATGTACTGGTTATAAATCTCTTGTCAGATGGGTAGTTTGTAAATATTTCTACCCCTCTTCACTTTGTTGATTGTTTCCTTTGCTATGCAGAAGGTTTTTACTTGATGTGATCCCATTTTTATTTTATTTTATTTTATTATTATACTTTAAGTTTTAGGGTACATGTGCATTTTTATCCATTTCTGCTTTGGGTGCCTGTGCTTCTGCTGTATTACTCAAGAAATTGTTAACAAGATAAATGTCCTGGAGATATTTCCCAATGTTTTCTTCTAGTAGTTACGTAGTGTGAGGTCTTAGAGTTAAGTCTTTAATCCATTTTGGTTTGATTTTTGTATATACACATCTAGTTTCATTCTTTTGCATATGGATATCTAGTTTTCATAGCACCATTTATTGAAGAGATCATCTTTTTCTCATCTTGGAAAACTTGTCAAAATTGAGTTCACTGTAGATGTATGAATTATCTCTGGGTTCTCTATTCTGTTCTACTGAAGTATATGTCTGTTTTTATGCCAGGACCATGTCATTTTGGTTACTTTAGTTCTGTAGTGTAATTTGAAGTCAGATAATGTGACTCCTCTTGTTTTGTTCTTTTTGCTTAGGATATTCTGGGTGTTTTATGGTTTTCATATTTCCATGTGGAAACATGGAATATCTTTCCGTATTTTGTGTCCTCTTCAACTTCTTGCATCAATGTTTTATAGTTTTTTTGTAGAGATCTTCCACTTTTTTGTTTAATTCCTAGGTATTTTATTTGTAACTATTGTAAATGGAATTACTTTCTTGATTTTTTTTCAGATTGCTTACTGTCAACATATAGAAATGCTACTGATTTTTGTATGTTGATTTTGTATCCTGTAACTTTACTGAATTTGTTTATAAGCGCTAATATTTTTTGGTGGACTTTTTAGGTTTTTCCCAAGCCTAATATTATATTGTCTGCATATAAAGATAATTTAACTTTTTCCTTTCCAAATTAAATCCCTTTTATTTCTTTCTTTTGTCTGATTGCTGTAGATAGGACTTCCAGTACTATGTTGAATAAGAGTGGTGAAAATGGGCAACCTTGTAATGATCCAGATCTCAGAGGAAAAGCTTCCTTTTTTCCAATTTAGTATGATACTAGCTAAGGGTTTTTCACATATGGCTTTTACTAGGTGGAGGTATGTTCCTTCTAAACCAAAGTTTCTGCGGGATATTATCCTAAAGGAATGTTTAATTTTAGCACATGCTTTTTCAGCAACAACTGAAATGGTCATATGTTTTTTGCCTTTCTTTTTGTTGATTTGATGTATCACATTGATTGATTTGTGTATGTTGAGTCATCCTTGCATCCCAAGGATTAATCCCATTTGGTCATGATGAATGATCTTTCTAATGTATAGTTGAATTCGGTTTGCTAGTATTTTGTTGAGAGCATATGCATCAGTATTCATCAGAAATAATGGCCTGCATTTTCTGGTGTTTTTTTTTCTCCTATGTTTCTTTATCTAGTTTTGGTATCAAGGTATAACTGGCCTTGTAGAATGAGTTTGGAGGTATTTCTTCCTCATCAATTTTTTGAATTGTTTGAGTATAATTGGTGTTAGTTCTTTTTTAAGTGTGTGGTAGAAATTAGCAGTGAAGTCATTGAATCCTGGCCTTTTATCTGCTGGGAAACTTTTTATTATGGCTTCTATCTTGTTCCTTCTTATTGATTTGTTCAGGTTTGTGATTTCTTCATGATTCAATCTTGCTAGCTTATATGTGTCAAATAACTAGCCATTTCTTCTAGATTTTCCAATTTATTGTCATATAATTGCTCACAGTAGCCCCTAATAATCTTTTGGATTTCTCCAGTATCAGTTGTAATATCTCCTGTCTCTGATTTTTTAAATTTGGGTTTTCTATATATTTTCTTATTCTGTCTAAAGTTTAATTAATTTTGATTATCTTCAAAAACCAACATTTTGTTTCGTTGATCTTTTATATTGTTTTCTTCATTTTAATTTCATTTATTTCTGCTCTGATCTTTATTTCTCTCATTTTCTTCTACTAATTTTGGGTTTGTTTTTCTTTTCTTCTCTAGTTCTTTAAGATGCATTGTTAGCTTGCTCATTGACCCGCTGGTTATTCAGGAACATATTATTTAATTTTCACATTTGTATAGTTTCCAAAACTTCTCTTGTTATTGACTTCTAGTTTTATTTTTTATTCCATTGTTGTCAGAAAAGATGCTTGATATCATTTCAAAGTTTTTGAGTGTTTTAAGACCTGTTTATAAACCTGGTTTATGGTATATCCTTGAGAATTATCCATGTACTGGAGAAAAAAATGCATATTCTGCAACCACTGCATAAAGTGTTCTACAACTATCTATTAGGTCCATTTGGTGTATAGTGCAGATTAATTCTTTACTCTTCCCTCTCCTCTTCTCAAGCAGAAGATAAAGGTCTCTTTTGGAGCTGCGAGCTTTGAAGCCTGGGGTTGTGATACAGGTGGTGCAAGCACTCCATTTGCCACTCTGGCTGGTGTCTTAGTAGACCATGTGTCCTCCAAGTGCACTGGCTCTGAACTTAGTTCAGCGCTAGGACTCACCTAGGAGTCACCGTCCTTGTGCCCTAGATTGCCTTTCAAGTTTACTTTAGGCCCCAGTGCACTTTATGCCACAGTGGCAAGGCTTGCTGAAACTCAAGTTCTGAGCACTGAGATTAGTATTTCCTTATCAGGCCCCACCTACATCCTGCTGATTGGTCCATTTTACTGAGAGCTGATTGGTCCGTTTTGACAGAGTGCTGATTGGTGCATTTACAATCCCTGAGCTAGACACAGAGTGCTGATTGGTGCATTTGCAATCCTCTAGCTAGACATAAAAGTTCTCCAAGTCCCCACCGGACTCAGGAGCCCAGCTGGCATTGCCTAGTGGATACTGCGCCAGGGCCTCGGGTAGAGCTGTCAGCCAGTCCCGCGCCACGTGCCCGCACTTCTCAGCCCTTGGGAGGTTGATGGGACCAGACGCCACGGATCGGGGGCAGCACCCGTTGGGGTGGCTCAGTCCGCATGTGAGCCCACGGTTGGGCAGGGGAGGGCTTGGGCATGGTGGGATGCAGGTCCTGAGCCCTGTCCTGCAGGGAGGTCATTGAGGCCCGGTGAGAATTCGAGTGTGGCGCAGGCGGGCCGGCAGTGTTGAGGGACCCAGAGCACCCTCCACAGCTGCGGGCCCGGGTGCTAAGCCCCTCACTGCCCAGGGCTGGTTGTGCCAGCTGGCCACTCTGAGTGTGGGGCCCGCCAAGCCCGCACCCACCCAGAACATGTGCTGACCCGCGAGTGCTGTGCGTAGCCCCGCTTCCTGCCTGCCCCTCTCCCTCCATACCTCCCCGCAAGCAGAGGAGCCTGTTTTGGCCTCAGCCAGCCCAGAGAGGAGCTCCCAAACAGTGCAGTGGTGGGGTGAAGGGCTCCTCAAGCATGGCCAGAGAAGATGCCAAGGCCGAGGTGGCGCCCAGAGCGAGTGAGGGCTGCTAGCACGTTGTCACCTCTCACTACTATATGGGCAAATGAACCAGTACTAATTCCAGAAAAACAGTGATTCTTCATTAATTCAGCTTTCTAAGAAATTTTACTATTGAAATATAAAAGGCTGGCAAGCCTTATTATTTAGAAACGATAAGGTACAAAATTATTAAATATAAATACAGGTCATAGAAATAAAATTAAATCCTTATCACTTAAAAATATTTCTAGAAATGATCTTCCCTAAGATTATGTTGAGTATTTCTGTGAAATTTGTAATGTTCATAACTGTAAAAGAAAAGAGGAATTAGTCATATAATGCGTGTTTAAAAAAAAAAAGTCTAGTGTAAAAATACAAAGACTTATATAGGTTATAAGATGCTTACTTACACAGTAAATCTAAAAGCAGTAAAAAGCTATTTATAGGACTAATTCATCTTTTACTTCATAAATATAAATTTTGTAGGCAACCAATTTTATTATCTTGATATCAATTTCTGTATTTTTTAAATATCCTCTTCAGAAATAAATTTTACTGTGTATAATTAAGATATCAACATGATGTTATGCAATATGTATAATATAGATAATAAAGAGTTTAAAAATATACTTATCTACCAGGAATCTCAAATACAATACTATTGTGAGCCATAGTTCTCATGTTGTACATAAAATCTCTAGACTTGTCCATCCTATGTATCTGTTACTTTGAAATTTCTGTATTTTAATAATGCCTACCTATATTAGAGTAAGAAAGAGATGCCTTATGGCATTCCAATTTTAAATTGTGTGAAGTAAATCTTTTTTTGTTGCCTTCTTTTTAAATTTATACCTAAATAACTTGATGAGTCTCTCGAATGAATTAGATGTGTGATCTATAGAAAACAAAAAGGAGAAAGTTTATTTGATTTTATTTATGAGAAATTTTAGAAAAGCCTATTGGTAGAGCAGTGATTTAGATTGTAACATCCGTTTTTAGGGATGAAGAGGGGGAGAGCTTATTCCTCTCTTCAATTTACATTTTCATAAATCTTAGAAGATTTCCCCTCTGTTTTCCTAGGATCAAGTGTCAGTTATTAGAGATAAATCTTTTCTCAACTTTTACAGTGTCAGTAAAGCAAAGAGCTCTTTGAACAATTTTATTGTACCTTTTACAAAGTCAGAATTGAAGACAATCAATAATGTTTTCCAATATCTTTTTAAGGTGGTTTCACATGGCAAATGTCTCTGAATTGATACAATAAAAGTACATTTTTCTTTACTCTAAAACAAACCCAAACTATGTAAACTACACATTTTCTTGTCACATTAACTTCTAATAGTATCATAGCCAAAATCATTTATGGAACTAACCTTACCCATGAGCTTTCTAACAAAACATCAGGGCACCTAACTATATGAAAAAAAACATAACCAGAATTAAAGAGAGAAATTGAGAGTTCTATAATAACATAGATTACTTCAAAATCTTAATTTTAAAAATAAATAAACAGTCACATAGTAAGATCAATAAAGGAAGTATAATATTGGACAACACTACAGACCAATTAAACTTAACAGACATACGTAGAACACTCTGGCCAAGAATAGCAGAATACACATTTTTGTCAGGTAAACATAGAACACTGTCCTGCGTAGACCATATGTCAAGACACAAAACAAGTTTTAAATAATTTTTAAGATTAAAATCCTGCAAAATATATTTTCTAGTCACAATGGAATGAAACTAGAAATTAATAGCAGGAGAAAAACTAAAATATCTACAATTGTTTGGAAATATCTTGAAATAAATGAAAATGAAACCAAAATGCATGGGATACAGGAAAAATAGTAAAAGAAAAATTTATAGCTGTAAATGCTTGCAGCTTAAGAAAAGAGAGACCAAAAATCAACAACATCAAACTAACAGTCTAAATTTACACCTTATGTGACTGGTGATAGCAGAGCAAACCAAACCCAAACTAGCAGAAGAAAAGAAAGATTACAGCAGGGATAAATAAAACAATGTATAGTAAAACAATAGATAAAATAAATAAAATCATGAGTAGATTATTTGAAAATAACAAAATTGACAAACTTTTAGCTAAATTTAATTAGAAAGGAAGAGAGAAGACTCAAATAACTAATATGAGAAAGAAAAGGGAAAATTACAACCAATTTTTCAGGAACATGAGGGATTACGAGAGAATACTGTGAACAATTGAACGACAACAAATTTGATAACCTGGATGAAATAAAAACATTTCTATATCACACAACCTACAGGACAGCATAATGAAACAAAAATAGAAAATCTGGACAATCCTATTACTGGTAAGAAGATTGAATCAATAATTAAAACTGCCCAACCAAGAAAAGCCTAGGACCTGATGGCTTCATTGGTGAATTCTACCAAACATGTAGAAGTATTAAGACAATTCTTTTAAAATTATTTCAAAAAATTGAATACAGAAGACTTTCAAATTCATTCTATGAGGCCAACAGTACTCTGACACTAAAGCCAGACAAAGATACGACAAGAGAAAACAAACAAACCTACAAGCTAAGGTCTTTGATTAACATAGATGCAAACATTTTCAATAAGACACTAGCAGAGAGAATTCAACAGCACATTAAAATGGCTGCACACCATGATCTAATGAGATTTATTCTTGGGATGCATACATGGTTCAACATATAAAAATGAATCAATGTAATATGTCACATTAACACAATGAGATTTTTAAATCACATTATTTTGTCAATATATGTGGAAAAATTACTTGACAAAATTCAGTATTTTTTATGATAAACACAACCAACAAAGTAGGAATGGAAAAATAAACTACCTCTACATAATAAAGGCCATATATGAAAAGCCAACAGTTAAAAATATACTCAATGGTAAAGTACTGAAGATTATGCTTAATGATTAGTTACAAGAAAAAAATGCCTGCTTTCACCACCTCTATTCAATGCAGTACTGGAAGATCTAACAATTATGCAAGAAAAAAAAAAGTCATTCAAATTAGACATGAAGTAAAAATATCTCGGTTTATCGATCTTTTATGTAGATAACACAGAAGAGCTGGACACAGTGGCTCACGCCTGTAATCCCAGCACTTTGGGAGGCCAAGGTGGGTGGATCACTTGAGGTCAGGAGTTCAAAACCAGCCTGGCTAACATGGCAAAACCCTGTCTCTACTAAAAACAAAAATTAGACGGGCGTCATGGTGGTGTTCACCTGTAATCTCAACTATTCAGGTGGCTGAGGCAGGAGAATTGCTTGAACACGGGAGGCAGAAGTTGCAGGGAGCTGAGATCGCAACACTGCGCTCCAGCCTGGGCAAGAGAGTAAGACTCTGTCTCAAATAAAAAAAAAAAAAAAAAAAAAAAAAAGAAAAAGAAAAAGAAAGAAAGACAACACAGAAGATTCCATAAAAAAAAACCGCTAAAATGTATTCAAAAGATTTCAGGATGCAAAATAAACACACAAAACATTAATTGCTTTCTTTTTTTTTTTTTTTTTTTTTTTTTTTTTGAGACGAAGTCTCGCTCTTGTCCCACAGGCTGGAGTGTGATGGCGAGATCTCTGCTCACTGCCTCCTCTGCCTCCCGGGTTCAAGCAATTCTCCTGCCTCAGCCTCCCGTGTAGCTGGGATTACAGGCACCTGCCACCACGCCCAGCTAATTTTTGTATTTTTAGTAGAGATGGAGTTTCACCATGTTGGCCAGGCTGGTCTTGAACTCCTGACCTCAGATGATCCACCCGCCTCAGCCTCCCAAAGTGCTGGGATTACAGGCGTGAGCCACCGTGCCCAGCCTAATTGCATTTCTATATGTTAACAATTAATAATCAAAAAAGGAAACTGAGAAAACAATTCTACAATCAATAGCATCAAAATAAATACTTGTAAATAAATCCAACTGAGGAGTTTAAAGACTTGTACATTAAAAATTATAAAACATGGCTGTAATAAATTAAAAGAGACACAAATAAATATATATCCTATGTTCATGGATTGGAACATTTAATTTTGTTCAAATGTTATCATGGACTGAATGTATGCACGCAAAATTTATAAGTGGAAATATTAACCCCCTAAGTGATGGTACTAGAAGTTGGGGCCTTTGGTAGGTGATTAGGTCATGAGAATGGAGCCCTGATAAAAGGTATTAATATTTTTGCAAGAGACCCCAGAGAGCTCCCTTGTTCCTTTCACCATGTAAGGACACAGCTGGAAGACCATTATCTAAACCAAGAAGAAGGCTCTCATTAGACACTGAATCTGCTGGCATCTTGATCTTGAACTTTTTAGTGCCCAGAACTGTGAGAAATAAAATTTTGCTGTTTATTCAGCCAAGTGTAATGTATTTTCATTCTAGAAAACAAAGCTGAGTAAGACAGATGTCAATACTACCCAAAGCAACCTACAGATAAAATGTAATCCCTATCAAAAACCAATAGTATTATTTGCAAATGTGGAAAAATACATTCTAAAATTAATATGTAATCTCAAGGGACCCTGAATAGCCAAAATAATATTCAAAAAAAACTGTTGGAGAGTCTTACATATTCTGATTTTAAAAACAATTATAAGACTACACTAATTATAACAGTTTATGGTACTTGTGTAAAGACAGACATATAGACAAATGTAACAGAATACAGAGCCCAGAAATAACCTTCACATATATGGTAAAATAATTTTTGACAAGCATGTCAAGACTGTTTGTTGGGAAAAGTACATTCTTGTCATCAAAAGGTGCTGTGAAAATAGGATATACACATTCAAAGCAATAAAATTGTACCCTTACCTTATACCTATATAAAAATTAAGGTTTAAGGCACTAAAAATAAGAGCTAAAACTGTAAAACTCTCACAGAAAAACATAAGGGCAAGTCTTCATGACATTGGACTTGGTGATAATCTCTTGGATATGATACTAAAATTATATGCAATGAAAGCAAAAATATACAAATGAGACTATGTCAAAATCGAGGTCTACACAGCAAAGGACACAATCAACAGAGTGAAAAAATCAACCTACAAATATGGGAAAATATTTGAAGATTATATATCTGATAAGGTGTTAATATCCAGGATATATGAGTTGCCACACTCAATAGTAAGTATGTGAAATGGTTACTAATCATTAGAGAAATGCAAATTAAAACCACAATGTAATGTCACTTCACACCCCTTAGGATTTTTTACTCTAAAAAAATTACAATTGTTGGAAATTATGTGGAGAAATTGGAGCCTTTGTGCACTCTTGGTAGTAACGTAAAATTGTACATTTGCTATGGAAAACAGTATGGTGGTGCTTCAAAAAATTAAAAATAAAATTACCATATAATCCTGCAATTTCACTTCCAAATAAATACCCAAAACAATTGAAAGCAGGTCCTCAAAGAGACATTTGTACACCCATATTTATAGCAGCATCATTCACAATAACCAAAATGCGGAAGCAACCCAAGTGTTTGATAGATGAATGGATAAACAAAATATGGTATTCTCTTAGTCTGTCTGGGTGCTATAACAATATATTTTAGCGTGGGTAATTTATAAGCCATAGAAATGTATTACTCACAGTTCTGGAGGTTGGGAAGTTTAAGATCAAGGCAGATTTGGTATCTGGTGAGAGCATAATCTCTGCTTCATAGATGGTGCATTCTTACTACATCTTCACATGGAAGAAGGAGCAAACAATCTCCATCAGTATTTTTTAATAAAGGTACTAATCACATTTATAAGAACAGAGCCCTGCTGACCTAATCACCCACCAAAGTTCTTACCTATTACTACTATAACCTTGGGAATTATGTTCCAACGTATAAATTTGGGAGGAACACAAATATTCAGATCATAGCATTCTGGCTCTGGCCCCACAAAATTTGTGCCCTACTCACATGCAAATTACATTCATTGTTATACCCCAAATTACAGAAGTTTTAGCTCATTCTGGCATCAACTCAAAATTCCAAAGTTCATAGTCTTGCCTAAATCCATCTAAATTGGATAGGGTTGAGACCCAAGATACAATTCCCCTCCAGACATCCTGAGGCAAATCCCCATCCACCTGTGAGCCTGTGAACTCAAACAAGTTATGTGCTTCCAAAATTTCATACAGAAATGGCACAGGATAGACATTCTCATTCCAAAAGGGAGAAATAGAAAATAAGTAAGGGGGCAACAGGACTTAAGTCCAAAATCACAAAGTAAAACAATATTAAATATTAATTATTGAGAATTATCTTTTTTACTTTATGTCCTTCCTTCTGGACACACTGGGGTAGGGATTGGGCCCCAAAGGCTGTCATAGCAGCTCCCCATGGCAGTACTCATGGGTTGGAGTTGTGTGCCTGTAGCTCTTCTAGGCTGGGGTTGCATGTTAGTGTCACTACTAGTTTGAGATCCCACAGGCAGCCACAGCTCCACTAGGCATTTCTATAGGAGGAGGTTCTCTGGTAGCCCCACCCCCATCACTGTACTTGGAATTGCCTTACTGGGGCTTCTCTATAGTGGCACCACCCCTGTGACAGTTCTCTGCTTGGGCCACAAGACTCTCTGGGGCATCTTTTGAAATCTAGGTGGAGGCAACCATGACCTTACAGCTCCTGCAATTCTACATTCTGGTGGAGATAACATTGGATGGATGTCACCAAAGTTAACCATTTTACCCTCGAGAGGAGGGGCTACTATGGCTTATACCACACCAAAGCCCACTGGAGTCATACCTGGGGTAGAGTGCTGAGCCAGCATGTGGGGAGAAGGGACTTGATGTAGTATTGAACAACTAGTGCTGAGGTCCTACTGAAGCTCCTCTTTTGACATAGTTCTGTCCGTCAGCCTTGGCACTCTGAAACTGATGGAAATGGCAATCAGTGATCTTGAAAATGCCTTCAAGGCCATTCTTCCATTGCTTTGTTGAATAACACCCAGCTTCAACTCATCCATATTAGTCACCTTATAAAACGGGAACTTGGTTATAGCCTTGGGGGGTCTCTCCAAAACATGATTTGTCGTTTTTTACAACATGGAGAGGATGAAAATCTTCCAAATATTTTAAGCTATGCTTTCTTATTGATTACAAATCCCATCCAATCATTCCTCTCTTCACACATTTTACTATAAGCAATCAAGAGAAGCCACACCCAGCTAACAGACATATGAGAAATTGTTTGATATCATTAGTCATTAGGAAAAGAAAATTAAAACCATAATGAGGTATTACTTCATACCTGTTAGAATGGCTATTATAAAAAAAAAGTAAAAGGTAACCAGTGTTGGTGAGTATCAGAGGAAAGAAAACTCTGTACACTGCTTTTAGGAATGCAAATTATACAGCCTTTATGAAAAACAGTACAGATTTTCTTCAAAAAAACGAAAAAATAGTATTACCATATGATGCAGCAATTACACTACTGGATATATAGCCAAAAGAATTGAAATTAACATGTTGAAGAAACATCTACACTCCCATGTTTATTGCAACATTATTCACAATATCCAAAATATAAAATCAACCCAAGTTGCTATCAGTAAACAAATAGATAAAAAAAAATGCAATGTATATACAGGGTGGAATATTATTAGCCATTAAAAAGAAAATTCTTTCATTTGCAACAATGCGGGTGGACACAGAGGATATGATCCTAAGTGAAAGAAGCCATGCACATAAAGACAAATACCAATTATTCTCCTATGTGGAATCTAGGTAACTACAAACCTTCTGCAGGAGATTCAACAGTGGGCTTTACAAAAAAATAATGCCAAGAACAAAAGCACCAACTGTCTTTCAGGGAGCTGCTACCTCTGACACACTCATGTGTGTCATGAAAGTGGGGGAGTCAAGAAGCTCTTTATAGAATGGTTAACTTCATTATAATACTCATTCAGCACTAATACAGGAAGTGAACAGCTATCACTACCCACCATAACTGTCTCTCAACACTCATGAGCTGTTGAGTAGAAACTGGATGGCAGAACACACACACACACACACACACACACACGGAGAGAGAGAGAGAGAGAGAGAGAGACAGAGAGATTTAACACTTCAAGAATTTGATTGCCAGCAGCAATCACCAAAGCAGTATGTAAATGTCCCCTGATTCATCTTCCTCTTCTAAATTTTTCAGGCAACACGTAACAGTCAGTATCAAATTTACTTCTATAACTTTAGTGTAAAAGGGGTCTGGATATAGAGTCATTAGTTGTCTAGCCTCAGCATACTAGAAGGAAGCTTAAATGGACATTTAGACCAAATTATACATGTCAATAATAATATACTAAAAAAAGGATGTTTTTATGGCTATTCTTTATACCAAGTTAAGTGCATATGTTATATTCTCATAGCCAGGCCATAAAAGCAACCTGATCAATTATCTTAGATTTTATTTAAGAAAAATATTATTTTACAGACTTAGACTTACATGAAGTCTTAGGTGGCAATTAGTATAAATTATCTATTACTCAATAACAAAGTACCCCAAAACTTAGTATTTTAATGCAACAATCACTTATTATTTCTCAAGGTTTCACATGTTGACTGAGTGGTTCTTCTAGAGTTGCCTGGCCTCATTCTCATGCATACAGTCAGATGGCAGATTATCTAGTGCCAGATGATTTAAGATGACCTCCCTCATATGTCTATAGACTCAACTGGGATACCTGGTATAATTGGGATGTCTTGACATCTCATTACATGTGGCCTACTATCCTAAGATTTTTATAGCCTTTTGTCTCAGAGTCACAAAATGTTAAAAACAGAAGTGTTAAGCTCTTATGAAGTATAGACTCAGAATAGGCACGACATCACTTCCCTAACAATCCATCAGGCAAAGTAAGTCATAGGAGCAACCCAGTTTTAAGGAGAAGAATAAGTAGACACCACTTCTTAATGGGAGGAATGCAAATGTCACATTATTTTAGGAAAGGATAAAATAGACTCTTGTTCTCAATGGAAAAAAATGGCAATGTCACATTGAAAAACATTCACTATAGAAAATATTGTCACAATTATTCATATGTTTCAAGATCCATTTGACACATGGATGATTGAATTTATAATTTTAATGTAAATATTGAGATTTGAGAATATCAGGATATACAGATTGTGATGGTTATTATTGGTTGTTAACTTGACTGGATTGAAGGATGCCTATATGGTTGACAAAGTAATCTTTCCGGGTGTGTCTGGGTGTTGCCAGAGTAGATTGACTGACACCTGGGAGACGAAGACACCCTCAATGTGGGTGGGAAGCATCCAGTGCAAATAGAACAAAGCAGATGGTGAAAATGGGATAAAGAGCATGCTGAGTCTTCTCAAACTCTCTCTTTGCCTTTGATGGATGCTTTGCTTTCTTTCCTCCTGCTCTTGTACATCAGACTCCTCGTTCTTCAGGTTTTGAACTCCAAAATTTGCACCAGTGGCCTCCCAGGGACTCTCAGACTGAGATATACACTGTTAGCTTCCCTAGTTTTGAAGCTTTTGGATTTGGACTGAGCCACTACCAGCTTCCCTATTTCCCTAGTTTGCAGAGAGCCTATTGTGTAAGCCAATTCTCCCTAATAAACTTCCTTTTATAATATATATGTATTATTGTTTCTGTCCCTCTTGAGAACCCTGATTAACTCACACATGGTTCTAAACTTATAATGGTTCAATTTATAATTTTTTCATTTTATGATGGGTTTATCAGGGTATTAAATGCATGTTTGACCTCTGATATTTTCATCTTATGATGAGTTTATTAGGACATAACCTCATCATAAATTAAGGAATATCTGTATATGAATATGATGTTTAAAGTGAGTACATTTAGATTCTGACCATTTATAAGTTTGGAAATATCTGAGAAGAAGTAGGCTTATAATATCATTTCACTTATATCTTCTCATGATCACTGCCAAAAAACTTATCTATCAGAATAATGGGCCCTATATTTTAGACGTTTTAGTATTTTAAAAATTAATGGAGTCCAAATTTAACATGACATATACCAAATTCAATGATATTATGAGCATAATTTTGTGTATTTTGTTTTGATTTTAATTTTAGCATTCTCTTGGAAATTTCTTGATAGTTATTCACTCCTCTTTTCCTCCCTGCGTACATTCTATATCTTAATACAAATTATTTTTGTATCACGAATTCTAGAGGATCCGGGAAAGACAGCTAACTAGATGCAGCTGGGAAGTGCCAATCCCACAGAGAGAGACCACAATTTTTATTACACCAACACAATTTGAACAGATCTTGAACTGAAAATGTCAAATGTGGATGGAGAAAAGGTGTGGACGCTGAGGCTGAAGAGGAAGGAAGTTGGGAACCCCGCATGGGGTGTCTGAGTGCTATGACTTGTTCCCAGTCCCAAATGATGCCTGGGAAGGGATGAGTGAAGGGAATGGGGGCTCCTCATCCTCACTTTGTACCTCTGGGATACTCAGTGCAGGGGAACCCACAGCCCCATAGACAAGTTGACAGCGGATCTCCCCAGAGATTATATTGAGGTGGAGCTGCAGCAGGTGAGAAGCCAGAGATGTTTGAGTTTGGGTCAGCTCTGGCGGAGGTTCGCCATAAGCTCCCACACCCCAGGGCTGCACATCTTACTCTGAGAGGTCCTGGGCACAGCTAAAACTGCCTAGGAAAAAGCAGGGCCTGTTTCCACACAGGACTGGGGAACATCTGTCTTTTAGGCCCATCCTCTCACTAGACCCTCCCAGAAATTCTGTCTTGCTGCCCCATTGGGGTGTGTATGCAATAGAGACTCCACTGCTCAGCCTGGTTGCTTTCTCCACCCGAGTGCATTCTGGTAGCCTGGGAGCCCTTTGGATCTCCCCACTGCATTTAGAATCTAACCCCAAGCATATGGGGGAGTAAGTTGCAAGCAGGTCCTGACACCCCAGGGCTGTGGCCTGCAGCTCAAACGTGCTGAGTTAGGTCCAGGCACGGTGGTTCATGACTATAATCCCAGCACTTTGGGAGGCCAAGGCGGGTTGATCAAGTGAAGTAAGGAGTGTGAGACCAGCCTGGCCAGCCTGGGGAAACCCTGTCTCTACTAAAAATACAAAAATTAGCTGGGCATGGTGGCGCTCGCCTGCAAGCCCAGCCACCAGGGAGACTGAGGTTGGAGAATCACTTGAGACCGGGAGGCAGAGGTTGCAGTGAGTCGAGATTGTGCCACTGCACTCTAGCCTGGGCAACAGGAAGACTCCACCCTGCTTCCCCCCTCCCCGCCCCCACTGTGCTTGACACTTGAATGGAGGAGAAGCCCACACTCCCAGAAAACTGAATGCTGAGTCGCACAAATTTATGACCTGGCATGAGATCTTTACATGCCACTCTCCACAGGGCTATTCTGGTAAGAGTGTGGCTTATTTTCCTACCACACCTCTCTCCAAGAAAGTCCCGTGTCCTGAAAAACATAACAACAATAAAATTGCAAGCACAGTGCCTGTGATTTGAGACGGCTTTCCAAAGGCCCACAAGGAAACCTGGTGAGGGGGTCACCTCTCTAGCCCTTACACCACATAACAGAGCTGAAAATATAAAGATACGCAATGAAACATCATGGCTGGGTAAGAGCCTATCTATTTCCCATTGCTCCCAAGAGCCATACACTGGATTGCTGCCAAAACTAGAACATCAAAAATTACTAATAATTATGACACACTGTGAAACCGAGAGCAAAAATTCAATAACAAAGACCCTGCAGAGTCTTAGCTCTGTGAAAACTTCCAGAAATGAAACCAACTGAGTATACTCAATTTACACCACAATTAAGGCAATACTACCCTGCCCGACGAGAAAAAACAATGCAAGAACTCTGGCAAAAAACAAACAAACAAACAAACAAACAAACAAACAGGTTGTCCCCTTACCTCCAAATAAACCCACTAGATCCAGAGCAATGTTTCTTAACTAGTCTAAATTGTCTGAAATGATAGACATAAAAATCCGACTGTTGGGTCAGGCACAGTGGCTCACACCTGTAATCCCAGCACTTTGGGAGGCCAAGGCGGGTGGATCATGAGGTCAGGAGATTGAGACCATCCTGGCTAACAGGGTGAAAACCTGTCTCTACTAAAAATACAAAAATTAGCTGGACATGGTGGCGGGCGCCTGTAGTCCCACCTACTTGGGAGGCTGAGGCAGGAGAATGGCGTGAACCCAGGAGGTGGAACTTGTAGTGAGCTGAGATCGCACCACTGCACTCCAGCCTGGGCGACAGAGCGAGACTCCGTCTCAAAAAAAAAAAAAAAAAAAAATCAGACTCTTGATGACAAGGATGCTTATCAACATCAAGTAGAGAGTTGAAACTTGTGATGGTTAATACTGAGTGTCAACTTGATTGGATTGAAGGATGAAAAGTATTGATCTTGGGTGGGTCTGTGAGGGTATTGCCAAAGGAAATTAACATTTGAGTCAGCAGGCCGGGAAGGCACACCAACTCTTAATCCGGGTGGGCACCCTCTAATCAGCTGCCAGTGTGGCTAGAATATAAATCAGGCAGAAAAACGTGAAAAGACTAGACTGGCCTAGCCTCCCAATCTACATCTTTCTCCAGTGCTGGACCCTTCCTGCCCTCAAATATCAGACTCCAAGTTATTCAGTTTTGAGACTCAGGCTGACTTTCCTTGCTCCTCAGCTTGCAGTCGGTATATTGTGGGATTGTGATTGTGATTGTGTGAGTTAATACTTAATAAACTCCCATATATGTATATATATATATATATATAGATATAAAACCTATTAGCTCTGTCCCTCTAGAGAACCCTAACTAATTACAGATTTTGGTACCAGGAGTGTTTCTAGAGGAACAGAATATTAAGTATGGACTTCTTTCATTGGTTTTGGGTTTCCTAGAGTTGGCTGCTTAAGATGATTAGACCCCAAAATACTAAGGACTGTATTTCTCATAGTATGGAGAACACTGATAGTCCTTGATGTGAACTGTCTAGAGAGTTATGCAAAATAAATGCATTTGGCACTCCTGATTCACTGCTCATGAGAAGCAAAGAGTTTAGTGACTCTATACGTAATATCTTTGACCGTATGTGGAGAATCAAGGAACATAATGAAACTGGTTAATTGCTCCTAAATTCAGTGTACAAAATGATGAAAGAAAATGATGAGCTCAGAGTTTCTAACTCCTGGCTTCAGAAGCAGATACTTAGCCTCAAATCTGCTAAGATTACCCTGAGTGAGAGTCTTAACTCCTGTAGAGAAAGAGCTGAAATTGTGAAAAAACAGACACAAGCTCTTATCATGCGAGTGGCTGACCTGCAGCAAAAGGTGCATGCAAAACCTTGCCATGTGTCTACTGTTAAATTGAGGGCATTGACTGAAAAAGAATGGGACCCTGCAACATGGAATGGGAACGTGTGGGAGGACACTGACGAAGTGGGGGACACCGAGTTTGTAAACTTTCATGAAGCTTTTTTGCCAGAAGGAACAGCTTACCCATCCGCAGTAGTGGCAACATCCACCCCCGCCCCCACCCCATCCATGCTGTCATCAGTGTTTCCAACTTTGAGGAGATAAACCCTGAACTGCCTGAAGCAGCAGTGATGGTCTCCCCTGAGCCAGTGGCCAGACCAGATAATGTTGATTCTCCTCAGGAGCCACCCCAAACACCCCTGTTTGCTTCTAGACCTATAACTAGACTAAAGTCCCGGTAAGCCCCTAAAGGTGAGGTTCAGAGTGTTACCCATGAGGAGGTGCACTGCACACAAAAAGAATTGCTTGAGTTTTCTAATTTATATAAAGAGAAATCTGGAGAACAGGCATGGGAATAGACATTGAGGGTGTGGGATAATGGTAGAAGGAACATAGAGTTGAATCAGGCTGAATTTCTTGATTTGGGCCCACTAAGTAGGGATTCTGCATTTAATTTTGCAGCTCAAGGAGTTGAAAAAGCTTCTAATAGTTTATTTGCTTGGTTAGCTGAAATGTGGATTTAAAGGTAGCCCACTGTGAGCGAGCTGAAAATGCCTGATTTTCTCCCTTGGTTTAATGTAAAGGAAGGGATCCAAAGGCTTAGGGAGATTGGGATGGTGGATTAGTCACTTTAGACCTACTCATTCCAATAGGGAGGGTCCAGAAGATGTACCCTTGACCAATGCCTTGCAAAATAGATTCGTGAGGGCAGCACCTGCATCACCAAAGGGCATGTAATCATTCCTCTCTGTATGTCAGATCTAACAACAAGAAGAACAGTAACTCAACTACAAAATTTAAACACAATGGAAATAATTGGATCACAAGGCTGCAGGGACAAAGCGGCAGCACTCAACCATCAAAGGCAAGGTGGGTGTAGCTACCATAATGGACAGCAGAGGCAAAGAAGCAATTAGAATAGTCTTACTCATGTAGAGCTCTGGGATTGGCTAATTAATCACGGTGTTCCTAGAAGTGAAATTGATAGGAAGCCTACTGAATTCCTAGTTAACTTATATAAGCAGAAAACATCTAGGTCAAATACACAAAAGACTGACTTGAATTATAAAAAAGATTCATGGCCCCTCAATGAATTTCCAGACTTGAGCCAGTTTACACACCCAGAACCCCCTGAATGAAGGAGAAGCCAGGTCCCCTTGAAGAAGGACCCCACTACACTACCGACAATTTATGCTGTTAATGTTTCTCCCATCTTTCCCCAAGGAGACCTCTGGCCTTTTACCAGGGTAACTGTGCACTGGGGAAAGGAAAATGATCAGACATTTTAGGGACTACTGGACACTGACTCTGAGCTAACATAAATTCCAGGAGACCCAAAACATCATTGTGGTTCTTCAGTTAAAGTAAGGGCTTATGGATGTCAGGTAGTTAATGGAGTTTTAGCTCAGGTTCAACTTACAGTAGGTCCAGTAGGTACACAGACTCATCCTGTGGTCATTTCCCCAGTGCCAGAATGCATAATTGGAATAGACATACTTAGCAGCTGTCAGAACCCCCACATTGGCTCTCTGACTGGTAAGGTGAGGGCTATTATAGTGGGAAAGGTCAAATTGAAGCCATTAGAGCTGCCTCTACCTCACAAAATAGTAAAACAAAAACAATATTTCATCCCCAGAGGGATTGTGGAGATAAGTACCACCATCAAGGACTTGGAAGATGCAGGAGTGGTGATTCCCACCACATCCCTGTTCAACTCTCCCATTTGCTTTGTGCAGAAGACAGATGGATCCTGGAGAATGACAGTGAATTATCATAAGCTTAACCAAGTGCTGAATTCAATTGCAGTTGCTGTACCAGATGTGGTTTCATTGTTTGAGCAAATTAACCCATCTCCTGGTACCTGATATGCAGCCATTGACTTGACAAATGTGTTTTTCTCCATGCCTGTCTATAAGTCCCACCAGAAGCAATTTACCTTCAGCTGGCAAGGCCAGCAATATACCTTTACTGTCCTACCTCACAGGTATAAAAACTCTCTGACTTTGTGTCATAATCTTATTTGGAGAGACCTTCATTGCTTTTCACTTTCACAAGATATCACACTGGTACCTTATATTGATGACATTATGCTGATTGGGTCCAGTGCACAAGAAGTAGCTAGCACACTGGACTTATTGGTGAGATATTTGCGTGGAAGAGAATGGGAAACAGATTTGACTAAATTTCAGGGACCTTTGACCTCAGTAAAATGTGTGGGGCCTGTCAAGATATTATTTCTAAGGTGAAGGATAAGTTGCTGTATTTGGCCCCTCCTACAACCAAGAAAGATACAAAGCTGAGTGGGCTTATTTGGATTTTGGAGGTAACAGATTCCTCAGTTGGGTGTGTTACTCCAGCCCATTTATTGAGTGACCTGAAAGGCTGCCAGTTTTGAGTGAGGTCCAGAATAGGAGAAGGCTCTGCAACAGGTCCAGGCTGCCATGCAAGCTGCTCTGCCACTTGAGCCATGTGACTCTGCAGATTCAATGGTGCTTGGGGTATCAGTGGCAGATAGAGAGGCTGTTTCGAGCCTCTGGCATTCCTCCATAGGTGAATCACAGCAGAGGCCTCTAGGATTTTGAAGCAAGGCCCTGAAATCTTCTGCAGATAACTACTCTCCTTTTGAGAGACAGCTCTTGGCCTGTTACTGGGCTTTGGTGGAAACTGAATGTTTGACTATGGGCCATCAAGTCACCATGAGACCTGAACTGCCTGAAACGAACTTGGTGCTTTCTGACCCATCAAACCATAAAGTGGGTCATGCACAGCAGCATTCTATCATCAAATGGAAGTAGTATATATGTGATTGGGCTCTGGCAGATCCTGAAGGCACAAGTTATATGAGGAAGTGGCTCAAATGCCCATGTTTTCCACTTATGCCGCCCTGCCTTCTCTCCCTCAGCCTGCACCGATGGCCTCATGAGGAGTTCCCTATGATCAGTTGAAAGAGCAAGAGAAGACTAGGGCCTGGTTCACAAATGGTTCTGCATGATATGCAGGTACCACCAGAAAGTGGACAGCTGCAGCACTACAGCCCCTTTCTAGGACTTGCCTGAAGGACAGCGGTGAAGGGAAATCTTCCCAGTGAGCAGAATTTCAAGCAGTGCAGCTGGTTGTGCACTTTTCATGGAAGGAGAAATGGCCAGATGTGTGATTATATACTGACTCATGGGCTCTAGCCATTGGTTTGACTGGATGGCCAGGGACTTGAAAGAAGCAATCTTGGAAAATTGTTGGCAAAGAAATTTGGGTAAGAATTATGTGGATGGACCTTTCTGAGTGGTCAAAAACTGAAGACATTTGTATCCATATGAGTGCTCACCAATGGGTGATCTCAGCAGAGGAAGATTTTCATAATTAATTGGATAGGATGACCCATTCTGTGGACATCACTCAGCCTCTTTACCCAGCCACCCCTGTATTGCCCAATGGGCACATGAATAAAGTGGCCATGGTGGCAGGGATGGAGGTTATACATGGGCTCAGCCACATGGACTTCCAGTTACCCAGGCTGACCTGGCTATGGCCAAGTGCCCAGTTTGTCAGCAGCAGACACCAACACTGAGCCCTGGATATGGCACGATTCCTCAGGGTGATCAGCCAGCTACCTGGTGGCAGGTTGATTATATTGGACCTCTTCCATAATAGAAAGGGCAGAGGTTTGTCCCCACTGGAATGGACACTTATTCTGGATATGGATTTGCCTATCCTGCACACAATGCTTCTGCCAAGACTACCGTCTGTGGACTCACGGCATGCATTATCCACCATCATGGTATTCCACACAACATTGCCTCTGATCAAGGCATGCACTTTACATCTAAAGAAGTGCAACAATGGACTCACGCTTGAGGAATCCACTGATCTTACCGTGTGCCATCATCCTGAGACAGCTAGATTGATAGAACGGTGGAATGGCCTTTTGAAGTCACAATTACAATGCCAACTAGGTGACAATACTTTGCAGGGCTGGGGCAAAGTTCTCCAGAAGGCCCTGTATGCTCTGAATCAGCATCCAATACATGGTATTATTTCTCCCATAGCAAGGATTCGTGAGTCCAGGAATCAAGGGGTGGAAGTGGAAGGGGCACCACTCACTATGACCCCTAGTGACTCACTAGCAAAATTTTTGCTTCCTGTTCCTGTGACATTACATTCTGCTGACCCAGAGGTCTTAGCTCCAGAGGGAGGTATTCTGCCACCAAAAGAAACAACAATGATTCCATTAAACTGGAAGTTAAGATTGCCACCTGGACACTCTGGGCTCCCCCTACCTTTAAGTCAAAAGGCTAAGAAGGGAGTTACAGTGTTGGCTGGGGTAAATGACCCAGAATATCAAGGTGAAACCAGTCTACTACTCCACAAGGGAGGTAAGGAAGAGTATACATGGAATACAGGAGATCTATTAGGGCATCTGTTGGTGTTAACATGCTCTATGGTTAAGCTCAATGGGAAACTACAACAGCCCAATCCAGGGAGAACTACTAATAGCCCAGACCCTTTAGGAATGAAGGTTTGGGTCACTCCACCAGGAAAAAAACCATGACCTGCTGAGGTGCTTGCTGAAGGCAAAAGGAATACAGAATGGACAGTAGAAGAAGTTAGTCATCAATACCAGTTACTGTTACATGACCAGCTGCAGAAATGGGGACTCTGATTTTCATGACTATTTTCTCTTTCTTTTGTTAAAAACATGTTTGTGAATGTATGCACTTCTACTAAGAAAATATTTTCCTTTTTGTTTCCTTTCTCCTTTATCATGTGACATAAGATTTATTAACTTCATATCAGCATTTAAGTATTGTTAACTTTATGTAATAGCATTTGGGTTGGGGATTGGTGCATTTCCAGTTGTATGAAGGATAAATATATTATGTTAGGCATAAATATGACCATAACGTGTATGGTTTCAAGTTGACAAGGGATGAACTTGTGATTGTTAATACTGAGTGTCAACTTGTTTGGATTGAAGGATGCAAAGTATTGATCCTGCGTGTGTTCGTGAGGGTTTTGCCAAAGGAGATTAACATTTGAGTCAGTGGGCTGGGAAAAGTACCCCCACCCTTAGTCTGGGTGGACACCTTCTAATTAGCTGCCAGGGCAGCTGGAATATAAAGCAGGCAGAAAAATGTGAAAAGACTAGACTGGCCTAACCTCCCAGCCTACATCTTTCTCCAGTGCTGGATGCTTCCTTCTCTCAAACATTGGACCCGAAGTTCTTCAGTTTTGGGACTTGGATTGGCATTACTTGCTCCTCAGTTTGCAGATGGCCTATTGTGGGACCTTGTGATCGTATGAGTTAATACTTAATAATATCTCATATATATAGATATATATATCTTATATCTATATATATAGGATAGATCCTATATCTATATATATCGATATATATATCTTATATCTATATATTGATATATAATATATATCGATATATATAGATATAGGATCTCTCCTATATCTATATATTATATATATTATATATCTCTATATAAGGATGTATATATATATCTTATTAATTTTGTCCCTCTAGAGAACCCTAATACAAAACTCTATCCAAAAAAGCCAAGTAATTCATTAAAACAATTCAGTATTTGAAAGATGAAATACTCATTTTATAAAAGACCCAAACTGAACTTCTTGGGTTAAAAAAATCACTAAAAGAATTGTATAATACAATCAGTGTTATTAAAGGAAGAGTAGATCAAGCTAAGAAAAAATGCTCAGAGCTTGACGACCGGTTCTTTAAATCAGCTCAGTAAGACAAAAGTAAAGAATGAAGAAAATTGAACAAAACCTCTGATAAATAATGGATTATGTAAAGAGATAAAATCTATGATTCATTGGCATTCCTGAGAGAGAAGAAGAGAGAATAAGAAGCCTGGAAAATATATGTGGGAGAATAGTACATAAAAATTTTCATAAACCTGATAGAGAGCTTGGCATGCAAGTCCAAGAAATACAGAGAGCCTCAACCAGAAACTGTAAAAGATGACCCTCCCAAAGGCACATAGTCATCAAGTTCACCAAGGTCAATGCAAAGAAAAAGATCTTAAAGGCAGCTAGAGAGAAGGGTCAGGTTATATACAGACAGAACTCCATATGGCTACCATCAGATCTCTCAGCAGAAACCTTATAAGCCAGAAAAGATTGGGGGCCTAGCTTCAGTGCCCTTAAAGAAAAGAAATTCCACCCAAGTATTTCATATCCTGCCAAACTAAGCTTCATAAGTGAAGGAGAAATAAAAGCTTTCTCTGACAAGCAAATGCTGAGGAAATACAATTTCAAATAAGAATAGCCTCATAAAAGGTCCTTAAAGGAGTGCTAAACATAGATTAAAAAGAACAACAACAACAAAGACACACTTAAGCACACAGCCCACATACATTATAAAGTAACTGTGTAATAAAGTCTACATAGCAACCAGCTAACAACACAATGACAGGATCACAATCACACATATCACACTAACCTTCAATTTAAATGAACTGAACGCCTCACTTAAAAACATAGAGTGGGAAACTGAATAAAAATACAAGAACCAACCATCTGTTGTTTTTAAGAGACCCTTCTCACATGTAAAGAAACTCACAGGCTACAAGTAAAATTGTGGAGTAAGATATATCATGCAAATAGAAAACAAAAAAAGAGCTATTCTTATGTCAGATAAAACAGAATTTAAACTAATAAAAATTAAGAAGGATCATGAAGGGCATTACATAATGATAAATAGTACAATCCAGCAAGAAACTTTAACGATCTTTAGTGTATATACACCAAACATTGGAGAACACAGATTCATAAAACAACTTCTTGGTGTATGAAAAAAAAAAACAAAAAACAGACAACCAAACTATAATAGTGGAAGATTTTAACACCACAGTGATAGGATTACAATAAATAATTGTGGCAAAAATCTAACAAAGAAACTCTGGACTTAAACTTGACACTTGACCAATTGGACCTAATAAACACCTATAGAAACTCTACCCAACAGCCGCAGAATATACATTCATCTTATCTGCACACAGAATATAGTCTAATATTCGCCACCTACTCAGTCATAAAGCAAGCCTGAATAAATGCAAAACAAATTGAAATCATATCAAGCACACTCTTGCATCCCAGTGCAATAAAAATATACATCAATATAAATAAGATCTCTCAAAACTATAAAAATGCATGAAAATTAAACAAGTTATTCATGAATATCTACTTAGGGAACATTGAAATTTAAACTTAAATACAAAACTTCCTTGAAATTAATAAAAATAAGCACACAACTTACCAAAATCTCTGAGATGCAGGCCAAGTAGTGTTAAAAGGAAAGTTTATATCTCTAAATGCATTCATCAAGATGTTAGAAAGATCTCAAATTAATAGTCTAACTTTGCACCTAAAGAAACTACAGAAAAATGAACAAATCAACCCCAAAGCTACCAGAATAAAAGAAATAACTAAAATTAGATAAGAACTAAATGAAATTGAGATGCAAAAATTCATTAAAAATATCAATGAAACCAATAATCGTTTCTTCAAAAAAATAAAAAACATTGATAGGCCCTTAGCTAGATTAATAAAGAACATGAAAGAGAAGATCCAAATAAGCACAATAAGAAATGACGAAGGTGATAATAAAACTGATCCCATAGAAATACAAAAGATACTCAGAGACTACTACGAACAACTCTATGCACACAAATTAAAAAATCTAAAGGAAATGGATACATTCTTGGAAGTGCACAATCTTATAAAATTGAATAAGGAAGAGATTAAACTCCAAATAGACCAATGAAAACTTCTAAAATTGAATCAGTAATAAATAACCTACCAACCAAATAAAAACCCCAGTAACAGATGAATTCACAGATGAATCCTATCAGACATAGAATGATCTGACACCAATCCTACTGAAACTATTCCAAAAAATTGAGGAAGAGGTTCTCCTCGTTAACTCATTCTATGAAGGCAGCATCGGCCTGATACCAAAATCCTGCACAATGAAAAATTAAAATTTTACACCAATATGCCTCATGAAAATATGCACAAAATTCACAATAAAATACCAGCAAATTGAATGCAACAGCACATCAAAAAGTTAACACAACACAATCAGGTGGGCTTATTTCTGGGACGCAAGTCTGATTCAACAGGTGCAAATCAATAAATGTGTTTAACCATACAAACAGAATTAAAAATCATATGGATTATCTCAATTGACAGAGTAAAAGCTTTCAGTAAAAATCAAAATCCACTTATGATATAAACCCTCAAAAACTAGGCATTGAATGAACATACCTCAAAACAATAATAACCATCCACAACAAACTCACGGCCAACATCATACTAAATGAGCAAAAACTGGAAGCTTTTCTCTTGAGAACTGGAGCAAGACAGGGATGCCTACTCTCATTCCTGCTGTTCAGTATAGTATTGGAAGTCCTAAGCAGAACAATCAAGCAAGGAAAGAAATAAAATGCACCTGAATATTAAAAGAAAAAGTGAAACTATCTCTCTTTGCAGACAATGTGACTCTGTACCTAAAAAATCCTAAACGCTCTGCCAAAAAGATCCCAGAACTAATAAACAACTTTAGTAAAGTTTCTGGATATAAAATTAATGTACAAAAATTCGTAGCATTTCTTTCTACTGGCAACATCCAGACTAAAAGTGAAATCAAGAACACAATCTCACTTACAATAGCCACAAACAAAATGAAATACGGAAAAATTCAGCTAATTAGGTGAAAGATCTCTACAAAGAGAAGTGCAAAACACTGCTGAATGAATTCAAAGATAACAAAACTAAATGGAAAAACATTCCATGCTCACAAATTAGAAAAATCAATATTATAAAAATGGCCATATAGCCCAAAGAAATGTACAGATTTAATACTATTCCTATCAAACAATCAACATCATTTTTCACAGGATTAGAAAACTAATCTAAAATGAATATAAAGCCAAAAAACAGCCCTAATATCCAAAACAATCCCAAGCAAAAAGTACAAAGCTGGAGGCATCACACTACCCATCTTCAAACTATACTAGAAAGCCACAGTAACCAAAACAGCTTGGTGCCGATACAAAAATGGACACATAGACCAATGGAAAAGAATAGAAAACTCAGAAATAAAGCTGAACACCTGCAGCCATCTGATCTTTAGTGAGACTGAGCAAGAGAAGCAATGGGGAACAGACATCCTATTCAATAAATGGTACTGGGATAACTGGCTAGCCATATACAGAAGATTGAAACTAGATCTCCATGTTTTACCATATACAAAAATTAACTCAAAATGGCTTAAATGAAGGGCCTCAAACTATAAAAATCCTGAAAAACAACCTAGGAAATACTCCTTTTCATATTTTCCTTGCCAAAGAATTTATGGCTGAGTCTTCAAAAGCAATTGCAACAAAAACAGAAATTTACAAAAGGGATACAGTTAAACTGAAGAGCTTCTGAACAGCAAAAGAAACCATCGACAGAGTAAACAGACAACCTACAGAATGGGAGAAAATATTTGCAAACTATGTATCTAACAAATGTCTAATATCCAGAATCCATGAGAAACTCAAACAAATCCGAAAGCAAAAAACAAATAACCCCACTTTTTTTTAAATGGGCAAAAGACATGAAGAGACATTCCTCAAAAGAAGATATGCAAGTGGCCAACAAACAAACAAACAAAAAAGTGCTCAACATCACTAATTATTAGAAATTTAAATCGAAAGCACAATAAGATACCATCTCACATCAGTCAGAATGGCCACTGATAAAAAGTCAAGAAACAACACTCTGGCCGGGCTGTGGAAAAATGGGAACAAATATACCATGTTGGTGGGAAAGTAAATTAGTCCAGTCACTGTGGGAAAACATCTAGAGATTTCTTAAAAAACTTAGAGCTACCATTTGATCCAGCAATTCCATTATTGGGTATATACCGAAGATAAAATAAATCATTCTATCAAAAAGACACGTATTCTCTTATGTTCATTGTTTTGCTATTCACAATAGCAGACATGGACTCAACCTGGGTGCCCATCAATGACAGGTTGGATAAAGAAAATGTGGTCCATATACACCATGGAATACTATGCAGCCACAAAAAAAGGTTGAAATCATGTATTTTGTGGCAACTTGGATAGAGCTGGAAGCCATAATCTTAAACAAATTAAGAACAGAAAACCAAATACTGCATGTTCTTACTTATAAGTGGGAGCTAAACATGGAACACACATGGACAAAATTATGGGAAAACCAGACACTGTGGAATACTAGAGGGTGGAGGGAGGGGTTTCCTGGTTAAAAACCACCTATTGGGTACTATGATCACTACCTAGGTGATGAGACCCACACTCCAAACCTCAGCATCATATAACATTCCCATGTAACATATCTGTACATAGACTCATTATATCTAAAATGAAAGTTGAGAAAACTTAATTTCTACCTTATAGGGCTATATTTGGTATTAAATGTAAATGACTGGCACCATACCTGGTATATTGTAGACAGTCCATTACTCTTAGCCTAGGAGCACCCACTTTTCTAATACAATCCCCTTAGTGTTACTGAGAAAAGAATAACAAACTTGTAGTTAACAAACCCCAGAATGAAATTTCATGTGTGTAACATAAATTTTTTTCTTTGTTTTCTCTCATTTTTGTTGTGGTTTTCTTTTCTTATTTCTTTTCCTTTTCTTTTCTCAAAATCTATTTGTTCTCTGACTCTACCACTTAAATTCTGTGTGACCTTTAGCTAATTACTGAAACTTTTGGAGCCTCAGTTTCTTCATTTTAAAACAGGGTTGATAATGTTGTCCTTATAACAATTTTTGGAAAGTTTAAATGAGATTACAAAACAAAATAGAAGAACTCTAATAAACTAAAATTAAAGCAATTAAGTAGTAGTTTATTTCTTCATAGGAATGTAAATTCTTGGGAGATAAAATTGTTATTATTCCAGACCTCCACAGCCAATAATGATTAATAATATAAAAAATATATTCAGTTCTTGAAACCATGCTATGTGCCAAACAGCACACAAGTTGATATGGGAGAAAAAGCAATGAATAAGATGCTGCATCTACCCATAAGAAGATTAACACACTGTAGAGAAATAGAGTATTTATAATGACCGTCAATGTTATTTATAATAAATGCAAAAGGGAAACTGAACATAGCATAGAGGTTGACATGAGGGATATTATTTTAGTTTAGAGGATAAAAACAACCTTTATGAATGAGATACTGTAAGATGGATTTAAAGAATAAATGCTTTTTGCATTTTGACAAAAATAGTTCAAATATGAGTTATGAATTAGAAATTCCAAGCAAATGAGATACCTAAAACAAAGTCACAAGAGATTTAGTGAATCCATGACATTTTTGGATAAGTGTGAGACATTCACTACTTCAGTTTAGTGGATTTTAGTAGAAAGTTATTTAGAAACCTGCATTGAGACTAGAAGATGAACATTTTTGACTATCAGCCTAGCCAAATACGTTGTAACAAACCTGAGTTTTTCAATATTTTTAAATACAGGAGTGGCAAAATCAGAGATGTGCTATAAAAATGACATGTCATAGACAAAATAATGCAGAATAGACACTGAGTAAAATAGAAGCGGTTCCTTTGTGCATTTCAACATGTTAAGCTTTATCACTTTCAGGTTATTGAAATATATACCTTCACATTACATAGATTATATACAGATAGATATAGAGATATGTATCTGTACATACTATATCTTTATATAGAGAAAAAGCTTGAGATATATATATAAAATATAGATAGATACCATAGCTTAATAAATATATATGTCAACATAAAATACATTATATTGGCAACATTCTCAGATAAATGTACCTTTTTTTATTATTATACTTTAAGTTTTAGGGTACATGTGCACAATGTGCAGGTTAGTTACATATGTATACATGTGCCATGCTGGTGTGCTGCACCCACCAACTAGTCATTTAGCATTAGGTATATCTCCTAATGCTATCCCTCCCCCCACCCCCCACCCCACAAGTGTTCCCAGAGTGTGATGTTCCCCTTCCTGTGTCCATGTGTTCTCATTGTTCAATTCCCATCTATGAGTGAGAACATGTGGTGTTTGGTTTTTTGTCCTTGCAATAGTTTACTGAGAATGATGATTTCCAATTTCATCCATGTCCCTACAAAGGACATGACCTCATCATTTTTATGGCTGCATAGTATTCCATGGTGTATATATGCCATATTTTCTTAATCCAGTCTATCATTGTTGGACATTAGGGTTGGTTCCAAGTCTTTGCTATTGTGAATAGTGCCGCAATAAACATACGTGTGCATGTGTCTTTATAGCAGCATGATTTATAGTCCTTTGGGTATATACCCAGTAATGGGATGGCTGGGTCAAATGGTATTTCTAGTTCTAGATCCCTGAGGAATCACCACACTGACTTCCACAATGGTTGAACTAGTTTACAGTCCCACCAACAGTGTAAAAGTGTTCCTATTTCTCCACATCCTCTCCAGCACCTGTTGTTTCCTGACTTTTTAATGATTGCCATTCTAACTGGTGTGAGATGGTATCTCATTGTGGTTTTGATTTGCATTTCTCTGATGGCCAGTGATGATGAGCATTTTTTCATGTGTCTTTTGGCTGCATAAATGTCTTCTTTTGAGAAGTGTCTGTTCATATTCTTTGCCCACTTTTTGATGGGGTTGTTTGTTTTTTTCATGTAAATTTGTTTGAGTTCATTGTAGATTCTGGATATTAGCCCTTTGTCAGATGAGTAGGTTGCGAAAATTTTCTCCCATTTTGTAGGTTGCCTGTTCGTTCTGGTGGTAGTTTCTTTTGCTGTGCAGATCTCTTTAGTTTAATTAGATCCCATTTGTCAATTTTGGCTTTTGTTGCCATTGCTTTTGGTGTTTTAGACATGAAGTCCTTGCCCATGCC
Source organism: Homo sapiens (assembly GCF_000001405.40). Classification (NCBI taxonomy): domain Eukaryota; kingdom Metazoa; phylum Chordata; class Mammalia; order Primates; family Hominidae; genus Homo; species Homo sapiens. Next base: position 4,222,354 of record NC_000024.10, read on the forward strand.
TATGTCCTGAATGGTAATGCCTAGGTATTCTTCTAGGGTTTTTATGGTTTTAGGTCTAATGATGTTTAAGTCTTTAATCCATCTTGAATTAATTTTTGTATAAGGTGTAAGGAAGGGATCCAGTTTCAGCTTTCTACATATGGCTAGCCAATTTTCCCAGCACCATTTATTAAATAGGGAATCCTTTCCCCATTGCTTGTTTTTCTCAGGTTTGTCAAAGATCAGATAGTTGTAGATATGTGGCGTTACTTCTGAGGGCTCTGTTCTGTTCCATTGATCTATATCTCTGTTTTGATACCAATAACATACTGTTTTGGTTACTGTAGCCTTGTAGTATAGTTTGAAGTCAGGTAGCATGATGCCTTCAGCTTTGTTCTTTTGGCTTAGGATTGACTTGGCGATGCGGGCTCTTTTTTGGTTCCATATGAACTTTAAAGTAGTTTTTTCCAATTCTGTGAAGAAAGTCATTGATAGCTTGATGGGGATGGCATTGAATCTATAAATTACCTTGGGCAGTATGGCCATTTTCACGATATTGATTCTTCCTACCCATGAGCATGGAATGTTCTTCCATTTGTTTGTATTCTCTTTTATTTCATTGAGCAGTGGTTTGTAGTTCTCCTTGAAGAGGTCCTTCACATCCCTTGTAAGTTGGATTCCTAAGTATTTTATTCTCTTTGAAGCAATTGTGAATGGGAGTTCACTCATGATTTGGCTCTCTGTTTGTCTGTTATTGGTGTATAAGAATGCTTGTGATTTTTGTACATTGATTTTGTATCCTGAGACTTTGCTGAAGTTGCTTATCAAACTGTCTCTCATACAAATGTATCTTAAATATTCAATCAAGATAAGTTGTTACATCACATCATATGAGATCTTACAGAACAGATCCTTTTATCATGACAAATTAATCATTAGTATTGAATGCTAGTGATGGAAATAAATGATAAAGGAAGTTTATTTTGATTCATTAATTGTATATATCATAGAAATGAAAAATAAAGATAATTTACTATATTTAGAAATACTCTGTTTTGGTAGAGAGAATAATTCCTTGAGCACATTTAGTACAGATTATTGGTCTTGCACACATGGTTAGATTAAAGATAAATATAAAAATAGATTCATTTTTGACCTTCAGAATCTAAAATGTCCAAATGCTCATCAAAAGAGAGAAAAGTCAATGAGTGAAGGCAGATTGTTTTTCTTTAAAGATTTTCTGCTTGAATGTCACTGCCTCTTAGTGCCCTACAGAACCACAAATTATGAGTAGAATAAAAGGATGTACTTTAGAAAATATTGAACCAGATACTTCCAGTGTCTGTGCTATATATTGGGAGAAAATGAAGCACTCTTAATAAATAGATAAACTTTTAAATTAGTTATTGCTTCAGTATACCAAATGGTATCCTTGTTGCCCACAATATTTAATGCCTATTCCTAAAGTGTTTAATATATTCTGATAAACTATTTACTACTGGGAAACCTTGAATGACTTAGGAGATAATTAATTTAATTTGTGGTTTAGTGAACAACAAACTTTCCTCATTTAATACCTTAAACTCTGAATCGAAACTTTTTCCATCACAGATGGCTGACAATATACAAGATATAACATATATTAAAAATAGATTGGATGTAATATACTTGGAGCGACACTTGAGCTCTTCATGGCAGTGCAAAGATACTATAAGATATTTAACTGTGACTGAATCACAGTGAGCACAGTCAGCCACACCTTACTGGTCATTGTCAAGACTCTGTAAATCATGTTTGATAAGAACAGAGTTCGTCACAATCACATAAGCATTTATTTCCCTGACAATTAAATGGTGAAAATGTTGGAGATAATATTTAGAACAAGATAGAATTACCATACAAAAGCCATTTTCTATCGTAAATCTAATGATAATGCTACACTCTATAAGTCACAAACAATCATGGGTGTTTGCTAATTTTGCAGTACTTGCCTTCACTCTTCCAATGGAGAAATAATATTCTCAAAGACAACATTTAATAATAATGCACCATGTACGGTAATCACTTCATTATTAGAAATGTTAACAAAGCATATATTATCTAGTTTAAAGTTTTATAAAGTGTATTCCTTAAAACATTACATCTACAGGATTAAAGTAGGCCTTGTGTTGAAAAGCAGTTCTCTTATCAAATTTACAGAATGTTGAATCAGGCAATATTAAACAGATTTTTTTTGTTTTTAAAAATTGTTTTCCACTGCACATTTTCTCAGAACTTTTAAAAGAGGTAGAATGCTTCTGACTATAAGATGGGAATATAGTATGTGACATTCCTCAGATGTATTTGAATATGGAGGCTTTTATTCTGTTGTACCTTATGGGAATAATATTCCTTGAAACACTATTTGGGGAGTACAAATCTGATTAAAGCCCCTCACATGAAGCAACTTCCTTAGAGGCAGATAAGCTATATGATATTCCTGAAGGTTTCAAAGTGACCTAAACAGAATTTAGGTGAAGGCCCCCTAGTTTACTGTCCAATACTTATTCCATTTTCACAATGTGGCTTTCCATTTTAACTGGTAATATTTATTTGAAATTTTTTAAAAATCAGTTTTACTCTAAAGTTTAGAGGAAACATTTAAAAAAAGACTAGAAGACTAGAACAGCAGGGTTAGGACAGTTCTTCTACCAAAGCAGTACACTTTCGAATACACAGTATTATATACAGTATTGCAGTACTTGCCTTTACCCTTCCAATGGAGAAATAATATCCTCAAAGACAACATTTAATAATAACACGTCATGTACAGTAATCATTCTGTTAACTTGATAATTTGATAATTACAAATGTTAAAGATATATGTATTTGTAAACTATTCATAAAATATGCTTATATACGTTATATTTATTCAGCCTAATCTGTAACCTTACGGGCCATTGTTTTATGATTATCTATTTATATATCTATATTAGAAATGTTAACAAAGCATAGATTATCTATCTTTTCTTGTGTAGTTTAAATCTCACTCTAAGCATTTGCTGATAGAACAGTTTTGCTTTTCCATGCTGAAGCAATTGAAGAATGGCCTGGGTTTACCCTGTCAGAATGTCTCACCTATAAACATTTGTACTAAAGTCACAGCAACATTTGAAAGATGCTACAGGAGTAACCCAACTCATAATGTGGACTTCCAAGATTTTCTGCAAAAATGAGTCAGCCCTTAGTAACTCTTGTCTATGTGTTTAAATATCATTTATGTAATGTGATTAATTAAAAGATTTTATTCTTATCATCTGCTTGTATTTTACATCAAACATTTTATAAATGTGTACTAGATGATAAAATAAACTGGTTTTACCTTAAAAGGAAAAGAAAAATAGGTTCTTTCATCCCTTCCAGAAATTACATTAGCATGAGGACTACACAAGGTGAACACATTCAGATTCAAATCCCTTTACGAAAGAGACCTCTTAATGATACACAAATCAATGAAAAGATATATGTATATCTACAATTAAAATTGCCTACTATTAAAAATAAATGGCTACACAACTTAATTTTTTAACTTGCAGACTGTATACAATGATATATAGCTATTTGAAATTGATATTAGAATTCTTAAGTGCAGTATTTATTGTTGCTGGGCCAAATATTCCTGTGGAAAAGCACAGGTGTGAAATTGTAACTGAGAAAATGTGACTTTGTATATCGTTATTAATTCACATTATGCACACATTTTAGAAGCATATTTTATGTATAAGATCAAACTGTGTCATTCTTTCTTTTCTTTAGTTAGAGATGTCTATTGAAAGATAGAACTAGAAGGGATCTTGAAAGGTCATTAATCCATTCACTGCACTTAAACAAGACTAAACCTAAAAAAGGCTCAGAGAGACTATCTTTGGCAGTGTGAAAACTTTTCGTGTCTAATTCCTTTTATGAAGACAATCTAGTAGAAACAATAAAAAAGAAAAGCTTCCAATATGGCATTTTGCTTTTCTAAGATGATTTCCCATTCTGTTACTAAAAAAAGAACTAAATTTATATTTTTCTCTTTTTGTCTTTTCTCTCTTTGCAGGTGCACACTATGTGTATGTGAATCATGATACAGTTCACAGCAACTGTAGCAATGCCACTGTGTTTCTGTTAATTAACTCAATATAACTATTGTGCATAAAAAGTGTACATTTAATAAGGAAATCAAGATTTAAAACAATTTCACAAAATATTTTATTATAACCATACACAAAACACTTTTCAAATCACCAACCATTTGTTATTATTTCTTACAAATTCAGACATACAGGATTACGTTCTTGAAACTGCATAATTATATTAAATATAAGAATGTCTCTAAATTTCATGGCTTTTATCTACCATAATGGGTTATCATTCCAATAAAAATATTAAATATTTGTGCCTATATAATTTATATGTGCAAATTATATGCATATATATGAAATGTCCTATATATGTGTGTGTGTGTGGGTTTGTGTACACTTTGATGGAGAATAAGTTGTGTTATTTTATTAAGCAAAAACATTGCCTTTTATGGTACATAAAATGACTCGTGTTTCCATGCTATTAAAATTCCTACATAAGTCTAAATTCTTATACATTCCATTCTCTTTGTATATTTTCCTTTTAAGATGACAAACATTTATTTCAAAATATCTACATTTTGTAAGCATTATACTCTAGTATCCAGTTTACTTACTATATATATGTGTCTGTATACATATGTATATTCACTTATACATATTGGTGGTAACACTTTTCTCCTTTTATTTTAGTTTTACATTTCTGGAGTTTCGGGAAAGAAGCTATTGAAATTTTTCTTATTTCAAGATATGTTTACATGACCTACTTGCAAACTTAACAAAATCATCTGAGATTATTTTTTCTTTTTTCAGTAAACTTACCAAAATTTGAACATAACTTGAAAGTAATGATCGGTTTGCTGTTTTGATTGTTTGTAGACAAGTCCTGTGCCATTAGTATCTAATAAAGTGAGTGACATTGAAGAATTTGGTGACAAGAATACAAACTAGTCAAAATAGATTGCCTCTATGTCAATAATTATAAGGCTGCATATCAAAAAAATATAGTCATATATATATTCTAGGCACTGTTTAGGGATAGTAAAAGAACTAAAAATTGTGTACATACATTTTGTTGGAACACAATGGAGGTGAGGTTGGGGAGTATGGTGTATTTCCGTGTGGTTTGAGTGCCTGTGTGTGTGTATGCGGGTGTGAGAATTACTTTTTATAGAAATATAATTAAGTAAAACTAACTTGGCATGTAAAATATGAGACAGTGAAGGAATAGGAGCATGGAAAACTATAAATTTTATAATTGTGCCATGTTTAGACTTTTCAGTTATTTCATAGTTATTGTATCAGACCTAAGACCGTGGCACATATTAGGTTCAAAATGGGAATGTAGATCCCTAAATCTAGATCCTTAATTCTTAATGCTTTTCACCATCACATGCTATAGTTCATTCACACAAATCACTGTGTTGTGTTTCTTTTGGTTGACACATACCTATCCCCAAGAAAATGGACTCAAAAGACACTAATAAAAGCTTTTAAAAGTATTTTTATAAGCCTGGGAACTGCAATAACCCCTGTATCTATTAATTGTTATAATATAATTATGTGAAATATGAGTGAATTGTGAAGAGACAGGAGTAAAAACTGAACTTTTGGGAAGGAAAATTGCTAAGGAACGAATGCAGAGTCCAGTCCCAAGGGAAATTGGTTAGGGTATCCATTTAGCACAGGGTATTTGGTAATCAAACACATGGACTGGAATACAGTTTCAGAAAACATTATGTATCTTAGTGATGAAAGCAACTGCTTTTCACTTTTTGCAAACATGACATTAGTGAACCTTCTGCTAAATCCTCTACACTATTTAGTAAATCTATATCCATCAGATTGATTGTCTTTCTGATACTGCCAAAGTTCAGGTGTATATTAATTTCAAGAATAATTGAAACTGAAACATACCAAATAGTCCCATAGAGAGTTTTTTATTTTTTTTTTGATTAACATAGAAATTGACCTTTCTGATCTTAAAACGTGAAACTCACCAGATCCAGACAATGACATACCAGGCCTCTCAAATGGTATCAAAGAATTCAAACTCACCAGATCATCACATTCTGACAATGAGATGTCAGGACCCTCATTCATCATGATTGCTTCCTTAACCATCCTGAGTTTCCCTTTTCCAATTCATTGTTACATTTCTTCCCTGCTATATAATCTAATTTCAGTTAGTCAGGGAGATGGATTTAAGACTGATCTCACATCTTCTTTGCTATAGCACTTGATTAAAGACTCTCCCTTGGTGATAACCATTATCTCAGTGATTGGCTTTCTATACAGCCAACAGGAGTAGCAGGAGCTAGACTGAACTCCTGGTGTTACTGAAACACCAGGAAAATTTTAAAGGAATTCCCATTTGCAGGTTGAATAAGCCCTACTGACTGAGAGAGGAGGGAAGCACCCTGACTGTTTCAGTATGGACGCTTCTGGGGGCTTATGTGTAATTGTGTGTTGTGTTTATGTGTCTGGGCATGTCAGTGTTTTTTGTGGGTACCAGGCAGTGGGATTGACTCCTCTCAATTTGACAAATTCTGCAGTAATTTTTGTTTACAAATTGACCAAGTCCACCTAATGGAAAGGGAAGCATTCAGATTGTTTCAGTTTGGACATTCTTGGGGCTTGTGTGTTTCTGCAGTAGTTGGATTGTGTTTTGGTGATTGTTTGTGTGTGTTTCATGAAAAATTAGAATTCAATAAACAGATATTCCTTTGTAACACTGTTTGGCCCTAATATTCTTTGGAATCTGGAGTTTTCTATTGAATGAGAAAGTGTGTTTTTTCAGGATCTTATGCCGCTGTTCTACGCAGGTATGTGCCTAGTTAGTAGGTTCCAGGTGATGTCCTGAGGTGCTGTTTGACCCTAATATTCTTTGGAGCCTGGGGAGGTTTGGGTCTTTAAGAATAAAACTGCCATTGAAGTTGCTTTACCCAAAATTTTGGTTCACAGCCTACATTGGGTTACCTACTGGGGCAAACAAAGTTTAGTCATGTAAACATGTTCATAGACAGGTAAGTTTGTATTGCTATCTCATGGCTATAGTTCAAAGGTAAAAGCTATTGGAAAAAGCTTTGTGTACCTGAAGGGAAAATAGAAAGCTGAAAATGTTTAGTTAATAAAATCTTTAAAACATGATAGAAAACTGAAGAAATGGCAATTAACATTGCTTATAGTCAAAGCTCTTAGTGTCAATGAAGGCAAACTGAGAACTATTATAATGAAACACATTGGAAGTTTGGCTATTTTTTAATTATACTTTAAGTTCTGGGATATATGTGCAGAACATGCAGGTTTGTTACATAGGTATACACATGCCATGGTGGTTTGCTGCACCCATCAACCCATCGTCTACATTAGGTATTTCTCCTAATGCTATCCCTCCCCTATCGCCCCAACCCATGACAGTCCCCGGTATGTGATGTTTCCCTCCCTGTGTCCATGTGTTCTCATTATTCAACTCCCACTTATGAGTGAGAACATGCAGTGTTTGGTTTTCTGTTCCTGTGTTAGTTTGCTGAGAATGATGGCTTCCAGTTTCATCCATGTCCCTGCAAAGGACATGAACTCATCATTTTTTATGACTGCATAGTATTCCATGGTGTATATGGATCTCTCTGCAGAGAGTGGATCTCTCTGCAGAAACTCTATAAGCCAGAAGAGAGTGGGAGCCAATATTCAACATTCTTAAAGAGAAGAATTTTCAACCCAAAATTTCATATCCAGCCAAACTAAGTTTCATAAGCGAAACAGAAATAAAATCCTTTACAGACAAGCAAATGCCGAGAGATTTTGTCAACACCAGACCCGCCTTACAAGAGTTCCTGAAAGAAGCACTAAATATGGAAAGGAAAAACTGGTACCAGCCACTGCAAAAACATACAAATTGTAAAGACCATCGACACTATGAAGAAACTGCACCAACTAACGGGCAAAATCATCATAATGACAGGATCAAATTCACACATGACAATATTAACCTTAAATGTAAATGGGCTAAATGCCCCAATTAAAAGACACAGACTGGCAAATTGGATAAAGAGTCAAGACCCATCGGTATGCTGTATTCAGGAGACCCATCTCACGTGCAAAGATACACGTAGGCTCAAAATATAAGAGATGGAGGAATATTTACCAAGAAAATGGAAAGCAAAAAAAAAAAAAAAAAAAAGCAGGGTTTGAAATCCTAGTCTCTGATAAAACAGACTTTAAACCATCAAAGATCAAAAAAGACAAAGAAGGGCATTACATAATGGTGAAAGGATCAATTCAGCAAGAAGAACTAACTATCCTAAATACATATGCACCCAATACAGGAGCACCCAGGTTCATAAAGCAAGTTCTTAGAGACCTACAAAGAGACTTAGACTCCCACACAATAATAGTGGGAGACTTTAACACCCCACTGTCAATATTAGACAGATCAATGAGACAGAAAATTAACAAGGATATCCAGGACTTGAACTCAGCTCTGGACCAAGTGGACCTAATAGATATCTACAGAACTCTCCACCCAAAATCAACAGAATATACATTCTTCTCAGCACCACATCGCACTTATTCTAAAATTCACCACATAACTGGAAGTAAAACACTCCTCAGCAAACGCAAAAGAATGGAAATCATAACAAACAGTCTCTCAGACCATAGTGCAATCAAATTAGGAATCAGGATTAAGAAACACACTCAAAACCACACAACTGCATGGAAACTGAATGACCTGCTCCTGAATGACTACTGGGTACATAACGAAATGAAGTCAGAAATAAAGATGTTCTTTGAAACCAAGGAGAACAAAGACACAACGTTTCAGAATTTCTGGGGCACAGCTAAAGCACTGTTTAGAGGGAAATGTATAGCACTAAAGACCCACAGGAGAAAGTGGGAATGATCTAAAATCAACACCCTAATATCACAATTAAAAGAACTAGAGAAGCAAGAGGAAACCAATTCAAAAGCTAGCAGAGGACAAGAAATAACTAAGATCAGAGCAGAACTGAAGGAGATCAAGGCACAAAAAAAAATTCAAAAAATCAATAAATCCAGGACATGGTTTTTTGAAAAGATTAACAAAATAGATAGACCGCTAGCCAGACTAATAAAGAAGAAAATAAAGAAGAATCAAATAGACACAATAAAAAATAATAAAGGGGATATCACCACTGATCCCACAAAAATACAAACTACCATTAGGGAATACTATAAACACCTCTATGCAAATAAACTAGAAAATCTAGAAGAAATGGATAAATTCCTGGACACATACACCCTCCCAAGACTAAGCCAGGAAGAAGTCGAATCCCTGAACAGACCAATAAGAAGTTCTGAAATTGAGGCAGTAATTAATAGCCTACCAATCAAAAAAAGCCCAGGATGAAGTGGATTCACAGCTGAATTCAACCAGAGGTACAAAGAGGAGCTGGTACGATTCCTTCTGAAACTATTCCAAACAATAGAAAAAGAGTATACAGGACTCACTACAAGGGTACCTCATTTACTCAGCCTTCTACTCTCAACTTCAGATGAGAACTGGAGTGTGCAAGCACTGGAACTGGCCAACTGGTTTGGTGTCAGCAGGAGTGAGCTCCATGTGGGCCCTGTGGCATTGTCCACGTATGGATGCCTGTGACCCCAAAGCCCTAGAGGTCATGTTACCAGTGCTCTTTAAGCTGTGTCATCCATGGATGGCTTAAGTGTTTGTAGCTCAGTGGGCACTTTGCCTCATTGTGTGGGGCAGCTGCCCTCCACCAGTGAGGGGAAAGGGCCAGTGTGACAGTCTTTTGTATCCACTTGTGGCTCCCAAGCTCCTGTCCAGAGTCCAGGAAAAATGAGGTTAAATGAACAAATTGAAGGATGATATATGCAGGGTATTTTATTGCTGATTAAATTGCCTCTCAGTGGGAAGAGGTGCTCAAAAGGGGATGGGGAGGTAGGCAATCCTCCCCTGAAGTCTGGCTGTCTCCAGCCAGATTCTTCTCCAAGGTTACACCATCAAGCTGTCCCTCCGAAATCAAGCCATTTTTCTCCAACATCCAACCGTAGTCTCTGCTCCTCTCCAGCTGAATCTTGGGTCTTTACAGGCACATAATGGAGGACAGGGTGGGTCATGGGTAGTTTAGGAAAAGACAACATTCAAGCAGGAAAACAGGGATATAAGTTCTCATTTTAGGCCATGGTTTCAGGCTTTTTGGCTTGAGGGTTTCACTGGGGACCTGCCCTTTTCTGCCTAGAATTTCTCTGCCTCCTTCACCTATCAGTACAAGTACTAATGTACTTATTGGTCATCTGCCTACAGTGAATTTCTCAGTTGCACAAAATATATATTGGTATTGATCAACTTGAAGACATTAATCTGTATACCAGAAACAAAATGTCCATTAGGTGTTTGTTTTAGGCTCTGGGTAACATTGTAGCCTCTCATATAAACTGAGTAGGAGAAATAATTGGAGTCGGTTTTCTGTTTATTTGTTTTTGCTTTTAATTTTCATTTATTGCTGTTTGATCTTTTTGGAATTTTAATTATATATACATATATATAAAACCATTGATGGCTTTTAGTTTCTAATGGAAGACTTTTATTTGATCCCATGAATAGCCATTTATTGGCCTATGCATTTCCAACAATTCATCATCTGTTCTATTTATCTAAAATTCCAAGCTGCCTATGTCAAACCTGCAAAAAGTAAGTAATAAAGGACATCAACTATTTAAAATTTGATTGGTTTTGTTTACCTCTGACAGAGAGCTACAAAAGCTTTAAGGTTTCTGTAAAAATAAAATAAATAAGATTTATTTTTACATGTTTTGAGCAGCAGTGTTACATTACTTCATTTGAAAAAAGTAGGTGAGAATAAAGATGTTTAAATAATGTTTATTTCCAAGGTAATTCAGTTCAATCAATAATTTGAGTTGGTTTCAGATCTTTTTATTTAGGGAATGAAGAAAAATTATGACATGGACGTAAAGTTTTAATGTTCAGAACAGTTTGGTCTGTGATTTCTCTCAAACCAATTTAGTTGTATTTAACATTATTAAAATTCAATGACATTTGCTTGGGTTAAGTCATAATAAAAAAATGTATGACTTTCTAGTAATTTTTTTTAATCCCAAGCCATTTATCACTGATAGGCCTCGATGTGTATAATTGAAAATGAAATATGTACAAGTGTTACCCTGGCTTGAATATTTTACTGGTGAAAGTTACCTAATCAGTTGTCTGTACTGTATCTAGAAACCAATCTTGGAAATGTGTGATGATGTCCTTTTAAAACAGTTGAAAAGAAATTACTGTGTGCTTGTTCTTAATTTGTCCCTGTTTTGTTGTATAGTATTTAAATGAAAGGAGATTATTTTTCCTCACACTGAATTTCCAAAACTGATAACTGCATTTATAATTTTTTAAATGATGAAGAGAAACCTTAGTCATCTTACTTTGATAAGTTTGGAGCAGGAACTATCACAAAAGTTTGGATAGTAGGAACTATCCAAACAAAAGTTTGGATGCTTTTGATCACAGTTTTGTCACTAGAATGCTAGCAACTAGACATGCAATAAGTAATCTGACTAACTTAATACACAGTGGTTTCAAGTGCAGCAGGCAGTAGCCTCTAAACACCAAATCACAGTGTTTTAATTTGTGAAACGATAGAGAAAATGATAGCACTTTCTGTGGTATAAATATCTTATTAACCCATCCTTGTGCTGTTAAGTTATAGGGCTTTGAATCCTGGAACTTAACAGCAGAAAGTGCCTTTGAATCTGAAAAGGCATACACGATAGAGAAAATGATAGCACTTTCTGTGGTATAAATATCTTATTAACCCATCCTTGTGCTGTTAAGTTATAGGGCTTTGAATCCTGGAACTTAACAGCACAAAGTGCCTTTGAATCTGAAAAGGCACACCCTTCTGCTAAATTTTGAGCATTGACAACAGTCTAAGCTGTGTTTTGAGACCACAGAGAAAGTGAAAATCAGAATGAATGCTTTTGTGAAACACAGAACAAAAAGTTTGAACCGTTCAATCTAGACTCAGGGACTATCATGAAACAGGTGGGCACATGAAATTTTAAGGGCCAATTTTGTGAGATAAAATTTGTTCAGAGTTTTTTTAATATATAAATTAAACATTAATATTAAAAGCACACTGATGTAAAGCCAACATCTAGGCCTGTGTGTAAAAATAACAGGGTTTTCTTGGAGCATTGATCTGCTCTTTAATAGAGTTATAAAAGATTTAACAGAAATTTTATCTTATGGTCAAACTGATTAAAATTAGATTTGTTTTTAAGGTTTTATTAAATTTTATTAAAATTAGCTTTAACATTAATAATACACCATACAAAGGTAAAATTTGGTTTTCTTCTTTGGAGAAAATTTTCACTTACGGGATAATAGGAGATTTTTGTTTACCATTTGATTAAACTGCAGGGGAAAAAGGATAGGGAGAGACAAATTTATTTGACCTCATGCTATCTTTATTAGGTTTCATTGTTTGAGAAACTTCGTCTCATCACTATCAAAGGATAATTGTTTTTGTAGTATCATTTTGGCTAAATGAATGACTAGTTTGTAGTAACTTGTGGGTTCTATTTTGTAGTATCAATTGTCTTAAACCTTTGATAGTTGAAAGATTTTCCAACAGCAAAATTTCAAGTTCGAAATTCAGTCTTTTTAACCTCATACTAACTTTTTTTTTTTTTATATTGGGTCCCCTGAAGACCAACAGAGACACTTTAGGTTTATTCGGTAAGTTAGAATTATACAAAAATCATTGTCAAATGTGACATAGTATTTAACTTCTTTTGGGTTATATTTATAAAGATGTGTTATTAATATGTGTTCTAGGACTGTATGATATTCCTGAAATTCTGACATACCTTAATATATTTGTTAAGTAATGATTATAATTATGTTGAATTTTTTTTTTGCCAACAGAAATTACGTAATTTCCTTATCAACTGTATCTTTAACTATGACCGTTTTAAGACTTTTGTCATCCACAATTGTTTCTTGTTGATTCTTGTTAAAAAGTGACTTAAAATCAGTTTTAATCCAGGGCTTGCTTCTTTGGGGCAGTTTATGGAAGGAACTCATGAATAAAGGATTCTGATAACTTTGGAGATTGTGTCACCGGATTAGAAAGAAAACTTCCAGCAGTCTAATTAACTAGCTGATGTGTTTATAAAGACTGCTAACCAAATATGAAGCACAGTAGGAGCTGATTGGATGGTCTGAACTAATGGTGGACTGATGTAATTTTTATGGCTTTTTTGCTTGAAATATTGTTGATTCTTTGTTTTTCAGAATCTGGAGAACTTTTTTCTTTAGAACTATTTATAGCCTTTAAATATACTTTAAGTATATTGAGGATAGATTGAAGCTTTTGAGTCATAGTCCTCTCTCTCTCTGCCTAAAATTTGTAAACTATTTCTGAATATTCTTAATTCATGGCAATGTGATTGTTTGTATATGTTTAGTAAGAACTTGTTTTCTTTTATAAGGGGATGCAGTTGGAGGAACTGATTATTTTCCAAGGGTTTTGACTGAAATGGTCTGTGAGAAGTTTCAGCAAAGCCAACTCAAGAGAGCCTATTTGGACAATAATTATTTCTGCACTTTATATGGGTAATCAGGCCAAGTATATGGGACTAAATCTTATTTTGCAGGAAGGTTTGCCCTATTATAATTGGTCTTTGGTGAAAGTGGGTGACTAGAGAGAGAAAAATTGTATTTCAAAAGAAAACTATAGTACCAATCTTTGATTTCTCCATGGCCACATGATCACCCATGGTATGGAGTACCCACAATGCCCCTCCTCAGCAGGAAGAAGCCAGAATGATTGATCATCAGAATCCCCATGATTGAGGAATTGATAAATAAAAGGGTGGGGGGGGAGGTGCTGAAACCAATCTAATAGTCACATAGGTTTTTTTTTTTATAAAAATAGAAATTGACCATTCTAGTCTTAAAACTTGAAACTCACCAGATTAAGACAATGAGGTATTAGCCCTCTCAAAAGGTATCAAATATCAAACTCATCAGATATCACATCCAGACCATGAGACACCAGACCACTCATTCATCATGATTACTTCCTTACCTCACCTGAATTCCTGTTTTCCTATACATAGTTACATTTCTTTCCTGCTATATAAACCTCTAATTTTAGTCAGTCAGGGAGATGGATTTGAGACTGATCTCCCCTCTCCCTGGCTGTAGCACCTGTTTAAAGTCTTTTTTCTTGGCAATAATCATTGACTCAATGATTGGCTTTCAGTGCAATGAACAGCAGGACCTAGGCCAAATCCCTAGTGTTTGGTAACAAAACTACTTCTCAGGGATATTAAACAATGGAAAATAGAAGAAAACTCTCAAATGAGAAAATCAGTCTTCACTATGTAATGATTTTTTCTCTTGCACTCTCATATAAAAAATGCTAACTACCTTAGAGATACTTGAGGGTGAAAGAAGCAATATTTCTTTGATGTATGTTACATTGTTTATTTTAAGATGACAGTTTTCTCATTGTTTTTGAAGTATAATTTGTTTGGCTATTTCTTTTTTGAAATTCTAGTTGACATATAGTCATTGTACATATTTATGAGGTAGAGGTGCAATTTTGATACCTATATAAAATGTATGTATAAAATATGTGATGCTCAAATCAGGGTAATTGGTATATTCATCACCTCATACATTTATCATTTGTTTGTATTGGGAATATTAAAAATCCTCTCTTATAGCTGTTTAAAAATTCAGAATAAATTATTGTTTACTAGTCACACTAGTCACACTAGAAATTTTTCCTCTTATCTAGCTATAATTGTGTATCCAATAAACCACCTTCCCCTATACAGCCCCTTATCATTCCCAGCCTCTAATTACTACTATTCTACTCTCTCCTTCAATGATATAAACATTTTTAGCTTCTACATGTGAGTGAGAACACATGGTATTTATGTTTTTGAGCCTGGATCAGTTTACTTGATGTAATGTCCTACAGATTCATCCATTCTGCCACATTTAGCAGGATTTTATTCTTTTTAAAGGCTGAATGATATTCCATTGTGAATCTATACCACATTTTCATTATCTATTCATCTGTTGATGGACTCTTAGGTTGAGTCAATATTCTGATTATGGTGACAAGTTCTGAGAAAAATATTCAAGTACAGGTATCTCTTTGAAATACTAATTTACTTTTTAAAAAATATGTATTCAATAGCAGGATGGCTGGCTGATACAACAGCTCTGTTTTTTGTTATTTGAGGAAATTCCATGCTCTGTTTCTTAACTGATGACTGATTTACATTCTGACCAGCTAGGTATAAGCTTTTCTCTGCATTCTCACTACCATTTTTTTATAATAGCCATTCTAATTAAGGTGAGATGATACCACTGTGAGTTTGATTTGCATTTCTCTGATTCTTAGTAATAATGAACATTTTGATATACTTTTTAATGTTTGTATGTCTTCTTTTGAGAAATTACTCTTCAGATCTTCTGCTGTCTTTTTTAATCAGGTTATTTATTTTTCTGCTGTAGAGTTGAGATCCTTTTATATTCTATATGTAAGTCTCTTGTCAAATTAGTAGTTTGAAAATATTTTCTCCCATTCTGCTGATTGTCTCTTTATTTATTGTTTTTCTTTCCTTGCAGAAACTTTTAATTTTGATACAATTCCAGTTGCCTATTTTTACTTTTGTTGCCTGTGCTTTTGAGGTCCTAGCCATAAAATATTTGCCCAGGCCAACGTCCTGAAGGATTTTCCTGTTTTCTTTTGGAAGTGTTATAGTTTCAGGTCTTATATTTAGGTGTTTACTTTACTTTTGAGTTCAACTTTGTATATAGTGGGGAATATGGCTTTAGTTTTATTCTTTGTACATGGATATGCAATTTTCCAACCACCATTTATTGAAGATACTGTCATTTCCCCAATATGTATTCTTGAAAACTTTGTTAACATTGGGCTGTATATATGCAGATTTATTTCTGGGTCCTTTACCCTTTTCCATTAGTCTATGTGCCTGATTTTATGCCAGTACCATGCTACTTTTATTACTATGTTTGTAGTACATTTTAGGTCAAGTAGTGTAATGCCTCTTGCTTGTTCTTTTCAGAAGACTCCTTTGGCTATTTTAGATCGTTTTTAGTCCCATATAAATGTTTTTATTGTCTTTTTTAAATATTTCTGTGAAAAATCCTGTGAATGTTTTGTTAGGGATTACATGGAATCTGTAGATAACTTTGGGTAGTGTGGTTATTTTAACGATATTAATTATTTCAATCCATGAAAACGGGATGTTTTATTTTTTAAATGTCTTCTTTATTTCATCAGAGTTTCATTATTTTTATTGTAGAGATCTATCATCTCCATGGTAATATTTATTCCTAAATACGTGATATTTTGTGGCTATTGTAAATGGTATTACTTTCTCAATTTCTTATTCACCTAGATTATTATTGGTGTATAAAAATGCAAATGTATTTGTATGTTGATTTTTATCCTGTGAATTTACTGAATGCATTTATTAGTTCTAAAAGATTTTGGTAGAGTCTTCAGAATTTCTATATAAAAACACACGCCATCTGCCAACAGGTACAATTCGTCTTCCTCCTTTCCAATTTAAGGGCACTTTATTTCTTTGTCTTCTCTAATTGCTCTGACTAGGACCTTCAGTGCTGTGTCAAATAACAGTAGTGAAAGAGGGCATTCACGTCTTGTGCCAGATTTTAGAAAAAAAGGTTCAATTCTTCCTTGTTCAGGATGATGTTAGTTGCAACATATAGCCTTTATTTTCTTAAGGTATGTTTCTTCTATACTTGGTTTATTGAGAGTATTTATTATTCAGAAATGTTGAATTTTATCAAATGCTTTATCTGCATCTATTGAGATGATTGTTTTTCCTTCATTTTGTTTATATGATTTATCACATTTATTGATTTGTGTATGTTAAGCCATTCTTGTATCCCTGAAATACATTTTATTTAATTATGCTGTATAATTGTATCGATGTGCTGTTGGATTCAGTTTGCTAGTATTTTGTTAATAATTTTTGCATCTATGCTCATCAGGGATATTGGCCTACAGTTTTGTTGTTGTTTTGTCCTTGCCTGGTTTTGGTGTCAGGGCAATGCTGGCCTCATAGAATGAGTTTAAAATAATTTCCTACCCTTCAATTTTTGGAATAGTTTCAGAAAAATTGAAATTAATTTTAATTTAAATGTTTGGTAGAATTCAGCAATGAAGTCATCTGATCCTAGGTATTTTTGATGTTGTGAGAAATATTTTACTAGCACTTCAAACTTGTTACTTGTTTTTGGTCTGCTCAGGTTTTCCATTTCTTCCTGGTTCATTCTTGATAGGTTCTGTGTGTCCAGGAGTTTATCCATTTCCCTTTAGCTTTTCCATTTTATTGGCATATAGTTGTTCATAATAATCTCTCATGATATTCTGTATTTCTGTGTTATCAGTTGCAATTTTTTCTTTTTAATAATTTTTGGGGCTCTTTTTATTTTAGTCTAGCTAGTTATTTGTTTATTTTGTTTATTTAAAAACACTTTGTTTCATTTGATTGATCTTTTTTATTTTTAGTCTTTATTTCTGCTGGATCATTATTATTTATTTTTCTATTAATTTTGGCTTTGGTTTGCTCTCATTTTCCTTGTTCCTCAAGGTCCATTTATAGATTGTTTATTTGAAAACGTTCTTTTTTTATATAGGTGTTTATTGCTATGAACTTCCCTTTTAGTGGTGCTTTTGTTGTGTTCCATAGGTTTTGGTATATTCTGTTACTTTTGTCATTTGTTTCAAGAAATTTTCTAAGTACCTTCTTAATATATCATTGACCCATTAGTCATTCAGGAGCATGTTGTTAGTTTCCATGTATTTGTACAGTTTCCAAAGTT